>NW_003571060.1:258362-440546 GCF_000001405.40 Homo sapiens
GAATTCTTAAAAATCTTTCTTTTCTTTTCTTTTCTTTTTTGACGGAGTCTCGCTCTGTCGCCCAGGCTGGAGTGCAGTGGCACCACCTCGGCTCACTGCAAACTCCGCCTCCCGGGTTCACGCCATTCTCCTCCCTCAGCCTCCCGAGTAGCTGGGACTACAGGCACCCACCACCACACCCGGCTAATTTTTTTGTATTTTTAGTAGAGATGGGGTTTCACCGTGTTAGCCAGGATGGTCTCGATCTCCTGACCTCGTGATCCGCCCACCTCAGCCTCCCAAAGTGCTGGGATTACAGGCGTGAGCCTCCATGCCCGGCCTGTTTTTGTTTTTTAAAGACAAACACAGATTAACCCAAATGAGATTCTGCCGCCTCCTAGTGGTACATAGGGTAATTTTCTGTGTCAATCAGTACATCTGACCCTACAGGTAGGGTGGATACTCAGAAATGCCTCAACCAACAGCAGGCTCAGTGATTCCTTGGATTTCCTGGGGCGTGTGAGTGTATGTGCATGTCTGTGTGTGTGCGTGTGTGTATGCATGTGTGTGAGAGCATGCATTCCTGTGCATGTATGTGCAGATGTGGACCTGTAGGGTCGGCTCTCTGCCTTCACCCAGCCACACCTCCCTCATTCATTCCTGATACACGTGATTTGTCAGAAAACACTGACACCAATGTGAAGTCCTAAGATGAGCAAGTTCAGAATATCTAATGTATCGTATCCGTGGCGATGGGTGCGCTGAGGAATTGATTGTGACTGTCATTGCACAATGTACGTGTACGACAAATTATCACATTTTACACCTTGAATACGTACAATCCTGATCAATTAAATTTTAAAAAGAAAACGCTGACACGTTTTCGTAGGTCCTGTTTCCCTCACTCAGCTTTGAACAACTGTGAAGGCAGAGAGTGGGTCCGAGAGACCTATGCACCCAGGACCAGGCCTGGGGCTGCCAGATGTGAGGCCTTCAAAATTATTTATTGATGCGTGGAGTAAAGCACAACCCAGAGAACTGGGCTTGGCTCTCAGCTGTGTGTGTATAGCACAGTCTCAAGGCTAGCTCTTGACTTCTAGGAAGGTCTTTAGGGTCAGCAGGGCAGATAATTACAGCAAAGTCTCTGGGGTCACTGGAGGTTCACAGCAGACACCTAGGACAAGCTTGGAGGTGGCATCACTGCTCAGGAAATCGGCTGATTGGCTGTAGCTGGGCCTTTAGAACAGGCAGGTGACTTTAGCTGGGTCTCTGGAAACAGTCAGGTGAATAAAGCTGGGTCTCTAGAAACAGCCAGGGAACTGTAGCTGGGTCTCTGGAAATAACTGAGAAACAGTCTGTCCAAGGAGCTGCTCGATTGTAGAAGGGACCACCTGGCTAACGAACCTTCTGGATGCTGGTTAGAAACCTCCAGTCTCCAGCTCTTGTCTCCAGGACAGCTGCCTGGCTGGCTTTCTAGATGAAGAGGAATCCAACAGGAAGCCTTCCAAATGGCTGCTTCAGGCTTTTCCTAGAGTGACTTTCTACCCTCAGGTGCAGAGGCCAGGTGGGTATGGGGTCAGTGTCTGGCAACGGCTGCATACGTGATGGACTCGGCCATGGGCTTTGTGGACTGTGGGGACACAGCCCGGGCTGTCCTCTGTGTGAGGGCCCAGTGGTCCAGCTGAGCATACGTCACCTCCTGGGAACTCCCTGCAGCCAGGGCCTAAGAGGGAGAGACCCAGGGTGAGGGAGTGCCTGGTGGAGGGTGAGGCGAGGGGCTGTGGGGAGGGAGGGCTGTGGCGGCCATCTCCATGGGCCCTGAGGACCCTCTCCTAAATTGCATCCGTGTGAAGAGCCCTCCCACAGGGTATTGGGGTTGGTTTACGTGACAATGAACAAGGCAGAAGGGAAGACTCCTGACTTCCAAGCTGAGCCAAAAGACATGGTGCTTCTGTCCCCTCCCTGCCACCCATCCTTGGATCCCTCCCTCTGGGGGAAGCCGGCTGTGTGGAGAGGCCCCTGTGAGAGGAACAGAGGTTTCCTGCCCACAGCCGGGGAAGTGAGCGTCTTGGACGTGGATCCTCCAGCCCACGGGAGCCTTCGGATGCACACAGCCCTGGGCGACCTCTCGACAGCAACCTCAGGACAGGCCGTGAGCCGGAACCGCCCAGCTGAGCCACTCCTGAATTCCTAACCCAAGGAACTGAGATTTTTTTAAGCTGCTAAATTTGGGGTACTTTAATAACTAGTAGGAAGGCTCACCGAGGTGTCCGTCTCTCTGTCCTTCTCAGGAAGTCCATTGACTGTGGCCTTGTCTTGGGGAGAAAATACATGGTCAGTTTTCTGGGGAGGATGTCGCAAGGCAAATCTGCCTGAGACCCCCACCCCCAGCTTCCGATGACATCCTGCACCCAATGTATAATACGACCTTCTAGAATGTTCCCAAAGATTCTTCCCCCCACCCCCCACATTGCATCTGGATTGGCACCAAGTCCCCACTTCCCCATCCCAGGCCTGTCCCTCCTCCTCCCCCTTTACCTGCTGTCCTCTCTAGAACATCAACAGCCAGGTCAGGCCTAAGAGGAAAAATAAAAGTGAACCTCAGGGGCAGCCTGGCGGCCGAGGACTGGGTGGAGGTCCAGGAGTCATTCCCAGGGGCCTCACCTCTGCTGTGGCTTCTGCTCCTCGTCCTTGCTTCTGGGGGGCCCTAAGGACAGTCGGGGTGTGAATTAAGGAGACCTTCTTCCTAGCCTCTCCTGACAGCTTCCCAGGTCACCCCACCCTGCCCCTGAGACCTACCCTGCTTTATCTGATTCTGGCGATGGAGGCAGAAGAGGACCAGGAGGAGGAGACAGAAGAGGAAGACCACTGAGACCCCGATGAGAATATACAGATGCTCAGCTTTCAGGCCTTGGGAAGCAGGTGCATCTAAGAAAGACAGAAACAGGATTTCAGCAGTGTGCATTTATTGAGCACCTACTGTATACCACACACACGTCACGTGCGTTTCATAGACTTACTAATATATAAAATATCTTAGGTAAATAATAGTCCTGCAGTACAGGGATCGTTATCCCCTTCTTCCACCACCGGGGTCCTGAGTGCTGGAGTCCTCTGCACAGGGACACAGACTGCCATTGGCAGAGCAGGAATCTGATCAACCCCAAAGCCTGACCTCTTTCTCCTTCCCCAAGAGGCACACACCAGCTTCATGCTCCACGGCCCCCATCACTCACGCTCATTGTGACTGTTGTCCGACGGCCTCTGCGTGGGTCCTGGGAGGGAGGAATCAGAAGGAGGAGGAGTTAGAGTCCTGAGCTGGACAGAGAAGGCTCTGAGTCCTCCCACATCCACTGTGGGGATCTCCCTTCACTCCCCAGGACCCTGACTGCTCCCTCTAGACCAGCACCGACCAGCAGAGTCTTCTGTGATGATGGAAACTTTCTACATCTACTGTCCAGCATGAGAGTCACACATAGCTATTGATATTTAAATTTATCCAAAGTTGAATGGCATGAGAAGCTGGCTGCACCGTCTGCACCTCCAGGACTCAGTGACCCCACGGGCCTGATGCCATCCCTACTGGACGGTGCAGATACAGCGCGTTTCCTGGGCGTGAAGCTGTAGTAGACATCGCTAATTTCTGCCCTCTGCGGATCTAGGCAGAGACCAACCACCCGCAACAAGAGGAAGGGAGACCTTCCCTCCCTGACCTCCTTCTGGGTTCCCACCAGAGGGCAAGAATCCTCATGTCTGATTTTATCTGCCCTCGCGGCAACCCTCTGACGGGGATGTAACCCGCCCTCCTGTGGGAAGAATCCAAGTCCCGATGTGCTCCTCTTTCCTGAAGCCCTGCAGCTAGCGGGCGAGTGTGTGGGGCACCGCCCAGGCTCCCTACGCAGCGCATTGCAGGCCCGCCCGTCATCTCCTCCAACCTTCACCCTCCTCTGCACAGTGCACGCCACTACCCAATTCCCAGGTGGCTAAATGGGGTCCTGAGGGGCTCCCCCAAACCCAGGGTCCGAGCCAAGCGTCCCTCTTCCAGGAACAGCGGTCCCTCCCCTCCCCCGGGGCTGAGGCAGCATCTTCAATATCCTTCAAGAAAGGCAGACATTCTCTCTTGGAATGTCCTTCCCTCCTGCCTCGTCCACGGTCTAAGGTCCAGGACACCACCCGTTATTCTACACCATGACTTCCTGGGCTTGGTCTTCATAACATTTGCCACCATTTAAAATTACATATGTATTATATATGTGCAATATTACAGTTTTTATATTATTTATAGTTATATGTATCATGTATTATGCAAATGTATAATATATAACAAATATATTTTTAATTATGTAATCTTGACATATACATATAATTTAATGTATATAATGTTAATTGTATATGATTTATAACTTATAATATATGTTACATATATTCACTATAATATATAATGTATAATTTATATTTGATATAAACCTATGATTAAATATAAAATATTTTTTCTATTATAGTTATACATAATGTATACATAATAGATAATATATTTACATTAATACCTATATTTATTTATTAACTATAACACTTGAAATTTATTATACTATATATTGTAAATATATCTTTCATATAATATATAATATACACTATAGTCATATGTAGTGATACACTAACATGTTTTATTATATAATTATCTTCCTTATATATATAATATATATATAATATATATATATTATGATGTAAACATATATAATATAATTTAAATTATAGGTCTGAAATTCTACATTGCAAATCATATATTTTTATCTGTATATGCATGTATGGGAATCAGTGCATTTCTATTGCTCATTCTAACTATTTCTCCCCATTGAAGTTCACAAGACGGGAGGCCATTTCTCCTCATTCATGGTGCATCAAATCCGGAGGCTTCAGTGCCTGGCACAGTCCCTGTGAGGACAAAATACTTCCTCAGTATTAATAGGAGCATCCCTCCTTTGGGGTTTTCTAATCAGCACTGATGTCAGCGCCGTGTGTACCTGAACTCAAGTCTGCCCTAAACGATTCTACCAGGACAGCTCTTCTATTGCCTCTGTTTCACATGAGGAATTTGGGACACAGGAGGTTTGGGTGAGTCACCGTCAGGCATAGAGCCAGGAGGTGGCAGAACCACCGGGATTTGAACCATGAACCCAGCAATCTGGCTGCAGGAGGGTCTGTCCTCGTGACCTTTATATGTCACTGCATGAAGGTGAGAGAAGAGAGAAGGAAGGAGAAGAAGAGAGGGAGAGAAACAGAGGCAAGATATTCCCGCAGACAGAAGGCTAATAAAAACCAGACACTGGACTTGAACCAGGTCTGCGGGACTCAGGAGCATGTCCCGCTGTGCCCCAGCAGCCCAGGAGCCTCTGAGGGGGTCCGGATGGAGCACGGCATCGCTCCTCCCACCTCCCCATGTGGCTTCAGCCCCTGGTCCCACCTGCCTGAGCTCACAGCCCGAGCCTCACAGGCAGTCACCGGGTCTAGGTCCAAGGACGTACTCTGGGGATAGAAACCCAGGTGGGGAAGGGGCCGCGAATGGCTTATGACCCCGTGTCCTCCCCTGGGAGTTTCTGGTCACAGATCACAGGGGGAGATGGACAACTTGAGACCCAGGGACTTGGGGCAGCTTCAATCCCATCACAGAGTCCAGGGCAGAGCCAGATGGAAGGGAAGCCTCATGGCTTCATCCTGGTCACCGTTCACAGCTACGTCCCCTCCCTGTGGAGCCCTCCTCCTCTTAAGGGACCTTACTCCACCGTTCAGGCCTCCCCCGGAGATCACAGAGCCAACAGGAGCAGCCCCGTCCCTCTCCGGGTGTCCCAGGTTGGAAGGTGAGTTCTAAGTCCCTCCATCAGGTGCAGAGCGGGGTGAATGGTGAGGCCACGCCCACAAGGGGGCAGCGTGGAGCTCGGGCGAGCCCGGAAGTCTGGGGTGGGGCTGCCCGGGTGGGTGGCCCCTGCCCCTTCATGGCCTTGTGCCGTTAAGCACGAAACTTTAATTTATGTTTTGCATATTAGAGAGGAGGAGGAGTTAGAGGATCAGACTAGTACCTCCCCCATTAAGTGGTGCTTGCATTAAGTGCTTTCCACAGTTCCTGGCATGGAACAAGGTTGCAATCACTGTACCATTGCTGCTATGGTCTCTGTGAGCATTAGCGACCTCCCAGAGCTTGGTGGGTGTCGGTGCCTTCCCGTGGCCTCCCTAGACCTTGACTCCAAGCCCAGGGCAGAGGGCTGGACCCGGAACAGCATCCGCAGCACAGATTCCCCTGTAATCCCCTCCAGCTGAGGGCCCTGCTACTGACCAGCTGAGGAGCCGGGCTCTGTGTCCGGGGAGTCCGGGCCTCCAGAGGTTTCTGTAAACAGGGGCAGGAGAAGGATTTAGAACCCGTCCCAACCAACCTGCCCTCCTCCACCCTGAGCCCCCATCCAAAGGCCGCATGACCATCACGCAATCCCAGACAATGTCTCGAGACTCCTGAGAAAACGAGGCAGGGGACAGGAGGCTGGGGAGAGCCCCGCTGCTTGCCCCATTCTCCCTGGGGCTGGTCACTCCCTCTGCTCCTCCCACCACAAGCTCTTCTTGACCTCAGGGGACCTTTGAGGTCCTGGGGGGACATGAAGGTGGATTGGAGCCTCTCCAGTGGACTTTGACTCCAGGACATCTCGGGCTGAGCACACACAGGAGTGCATGTGGTCACATACCAAAGGTTTTCCCAAAGCACTGTCCCGCCCTGGTCAGGGGCCATCCCTGGACCCTGCGTTCTGCCCAGTGGGAGATGAACCACTCCAGGAGAAGCACATTGCCTGGGGCAGGTTCTGGCTCAGTGGAAAGGAATAAGCGGGACCATCCATCCCGTGTGAAAAGACACTCATCCTCTTGTAGGGGGGTTGCCCCCTAATCTCTGGGAACCCACTCCCCACCCAGCCAAGCAGAGCCAGCTCTGAGCCCACCAGATGCTGGAGCTGAGTGTCCACGCCATCCGTGGCGTCCAGAGGAGATCAGGGCTCCAGGGACCTAAGCAAGTATGAGGCAGAGGGGAGGTGTGTGCAGACGGAGAGGGGAAGGGGAGGGCTTGGCGGTCAGGAGGAGGACAAGGTTGGCCACAGAGGACAGCAGCTGGGACAGGGTCCAGGGACCTGGGGACAAGCTCGAGGGTCGAGCTGAGACTGGGGCAGGGCCCAGGTGACGTCCTCACCTTTCACCAGCAGCTCCAGGTAGTCACTCTGCTCAGACCATTTAGGGGGCTTATAATAGATGCAGCGATAAGGCCCGGCATTTCCTTCACTTACTGAGTCAATGCGGAATCTGGCCTCTGACTCAGATGGACTAGCTTGAGACACATCTTCAGTATCATTGTATGTGGATCTACTCTCCCTCTCCAGGCGGAATGTTTGAACCCCAACCGGGCCCCGGCACACGAAAGTCACATGGCTCCCCAGGGGGATCACGGTGCCTGGCTCAGCCGAGATGGAGGGTCTGGGCAGATCTTCTAGGAGGGAAGCAGAGCAGGATCTCAGCGTCCACTGTAGGAAGTCACCATGCCACACACGTCATTTTAGCATCACAATTCAGGGATTTTAGCAATTTTATAGAGTTATGCAGCCATGACCACAGCCCAACCTTAGAACATTCCCAAGCCTCCTGCACCTTCTACGTGCATGTGATTCTCATCACTGCAGAGTTTTTTCCCAGTTGACAGTGAGGACCCTGAGACTTGCTCACAACTTGGGCCTTGCTCAGGGTCATGTGGGAAGTGTCGGAGCAGCCTGGAGCCCTTCATGCCTGCTGCAGAGCCCAGGGCCACTTTCCAGAGGGACAGAGTGTGGGAGGGAGGCACAGGATGGGGATGACAGGGTCATTGGTGAAGGACAAGGGACAGAGAAGCGAGGGCTCTGGAGATGGCTTGTGCTGGGGCCTGAAGGGCACTGGCCGGTCCCCGGGTGGGACTGAGTGTGGGACGGGGGTTGCCAGGCTCCTTTGAGGGTCTGGTGGGGTGAGGGTGAAGCCCCCAGCCCTGATCTGCTCACAGCAGATGCCCAGCCCGTGACAGGTCCCCATTGCTAATGCAGATCTCTGTGGAGACACCACCTCTGGGTTTTCCTCTATAGTTTCTACTTTCTTCTCAGCCTAATTTGCATTTCCTTCTTATTAAGGCTCTTGAAAAACCCCATTTATCTCAACTGGGCTTGGGGTGGAGGAGGAAGGGCGGGTTTGACGCCCTGAAACAGGAAGGTTGTGTCAAAATTAGCAAAATCCCTGAGCGGGGCAGAGAGCTGGCAGGGCTTCAATTCACTCGTCCCGTCTTCATTCATTCCTTATTATTGACAAATTAAAACTGCATGTATTTAAGGTGTACAACATGATGTTTTGATACAGGTATACACTGTGGAATCGCTGAATCAAGCTAATTAATATAACCTCACTTTGCGTAGTTAATTGTTGTGGTGAGAACATTTAAAATCTGCCCTCTTAGTGATTTTCAAGCATATGATACATTGTGATTAACTCTAGTCATTGTGTTGCACAATCCTGAACTTACTCTTCCTGTCTAGACGAAATTTTCTATCCTTTGACCAGCATCTCCCCAAACCCACCCATTTGTTCATTTTTCTTTCTTTTAACCATATCTCAGTTACTTATCAATCTGTTTAAAGACGTTTTTCATGGGCTGCTAATTCCACAAATGTGAGAAACACACACAGGATGCCTGCCGTTTGGAGGTGGACTTCCAGAAGGGAGGACCGGTATTGATCAAAGAATTGTCCAAATCTGCAGCTGTGAACTGACAGAGTCTTGCTCTGTCACCCAGGATGGAGTGCAGTGGCGCAATCTCAGCTCACTGCAACCTCCGCCTCCAAGGTTCAAGCAATTCTCCTGCCTCAGCCTCCTGAGTAGCTGGGATTACAGGTGCACTCCACCACGCCCAGCTAATTTTTGTATTTTTAGTAGAGACGGGGTTTCCCCCATGTTGTCCAGGCTGGTCTCAAACTTCTGACCTCAAGTGATCCACCCACCTCCGCCTCCCAAAGTGCTGGGATTACAGATGTGAGCCACCGCACCCAGCCTCATTGGTCATTTTTAAAATGAATTATTTTTTTTCAAAATCAGCATGTGAGAAGAACCACCATATTGAGCGGCATATGGAGTGTTTGAGAAAGCGAAAGAACCTGGAGGAATGTAGAGATGAGTGAGCCCCAGGTCACAGGGACAGGATGTGGCTGGGAAAATGGGCATGTCCAGACCAAAGAGAGGTGCACAGGTCTGATTCTATCTGAAGATAAACAGGGGAAGGGCTCTGAGAAAAAAAAAAAAAGATTTCATCTTACGATGAGATATTAAATGAAAATTTTTGAATACAATTTAAAAACTGTGGAAAGTACAATGGTCATGGTTGTGCTTTTGCAAATCGCCAGTCCCTGGGGTCAGGAAGGGAGCAGGCAGCAGTGGCAATGGACAGGCTGAGGCCGGCCTCGGGCAGCCACGGAGGGGAGAGGGGCTGTCACCTGGGGGTGATGCAGGAAAAGTCGATGAAGAGAGAGGGAAAGATGAGAAAAATTTAGAGTGAAATCACCAGGACTGGGTGACATGGTGCATCCAGGAGGATGGAGAAGAGGATGAGTGTTCAGAGTCTGCCCTTTGTGACTGTCACGTTCCCCGCCAAGAAGCTGCCGAGTGAAGTGTGGGCTCGTCTGGGGAAAAGTGCCGGGCTCAGCCTTGGTTGTGTTGGGTTTGAATTCTCATTGTGGAAATCGGTGTGCGGAGCTGACCCCTGCACTCCCAGGGTGACCGCAGCGCTACTCACAGCCGCCAAGACCTGGCAAGAACCTGAGTGCCCACCACCAAATGAATGGATGAGGAGAATGTGCTGTGTATATGCAATGGAATATTATTCAGCCCTAAAAAAGGAAGGACATTCTGTCATTCGCAACAACATGGATGAACCAGAGGACGTTAGGCTAAGTGAAATAAGCCGGGCACAGAAAGACAATTACTGCGCGTTCTCACTTATCTGTGGAATCTAAGAAAAGTTGATCACCCGGAAGCAGAGTAGAATGGTGGTTATTGGAGGCTGCAGGTGCGGGGCATGGGAGAGACACTGATCAAATGATACAAAGTTTCGAGTAGCCAGGACGAGTGAATTTTTCAGATCTATGGCACAGCAGAATGACAGTAGTTCATAATAATTTATTGTATATTTCAAAATTGCTAAAAGGAGATTTAAAATATTCTCATCACAATAAGTATGTGATGGGGCTGATATGTTAATCAGCTTTATTTAATCTTTCCACAATGTGTACATACGTCATAATATCACACTGTACCCCGCAAATTGCAATTATTTGTCAATTAAAAATAAAATTTTTGAAAATAAGAAAAGCAAAATAAGACAGGTGGAGGATGCGAGAGAGAACTGGGTGAGGGTTGGTTATGCATTTTACATTTGGAAGAGTTTGCAATCTAGGGTATATTTAAAGGGATCTCTCCAGGCCCTCTAAGAATCAACATCACTCCCACCCAGCACTGCCCTTGGGGTGACAGAGGGGACTGGGAAGATGGGACGAAGGCATGACTTACCCTCCTGCGTGTGGATGGTCTGGGCCAGGCAGAGCACTGGAAGAGAAGCCCCAGTGAGAAAAATGCCCAGTGCCCAGTCTCCTTACGGGGCTGCTGTCAAAAGGGGGCTCGATGGAGCTGGGGGGCATTCAGCATTTCATAACGACCAAGCCAACCCTCCTCGACATCACTGTCTCCATGTAATCCTTCTTGCTGCAAAATGGTTTCAAGATAAATCCCAAAGTCTCCTCCTCCAAAAAGGCTCCTGCTCCCCCAGCCCTTCTTAAAGCTGACCTCATCCCCACACCCGGGCCCCTGTTTTTAGGACAAGATCTTCTCTGATCAGACTTAGGCCCCAGGGAGAGCAGCAGGGCAGTCTTGGGAGGAGGAGGACACTTTCCTCCCCAGAATCTTCTGGACTAGAGTCAGGCTTGAGCAGGGAATTTTCCAGACCTCCCGACCCCCTTTCCAGCCTCCCGGCTGCCTCCAGGACTCACCTAGGCCCAGGAGGGCGGTGGGGTGGGGAGACATGGCCCAGGTCCCAGCAGTGCAGCCTGGCCTGAGGCGCACCAATGCAAGGACAGAACTCTGCAGCAGACACAAGCAGACAGGATGTGCTGCCCGGGGGCCTCCTGCCTATGGGGCTTCCACAGCAACTGCCTCACACAAGAGGAAGAGCTTTCTGTCCTGTTCTTTCCACCCTTCCCACTAGTGAGACGAGAGGGAGGGCCTTGGTTTCTGAAAAATGTCGCTTACCCTAAATGTCGCTTAGAGGCAGATGACCGTAAACTAGTTACCAGATGTGTCAGCCTCTTTCTAAATCTATGGGACAAGGCAGAATAAAGGTCGGGCAACCAATTGACTTGGACGCCGTCCCAACTCCACAAGTTAACGGTCGCAGCTCTTGGGCAAGACGTTACAAAACTAGAAGCTGACATTTCCTTGTATTACAAATGGGAGCCATAGAAATCCTTCCCCAAGTTTTTAATATTGTGATCTATGCTAAAATCCCGACAAGGTATTTAACATGTTAAAAATATCCTACAAAGCATATTATTTTTTTAAGGAGACAGTATTGGTGAGGATGTGGAGAAACTGGATCCCTCGCATACCACAGTAGGAATTAAAAATTGGGCAATCACTATAGAGAACAGTGGGGAGGTTCCTCAAAAAATTAAAAATAGAGCTACCATATGGTCCAGCAATCCCACTTCTGGGTCTGTATTTAAAAGAAACAGGCCAGGCGCAGTGGCTCACAGCTGTAATCCCAGCACTTCGGGAGGCCGGGGTGGGTGGATCACCTGAGGCCATAAATTCGAGACCAGCCTGGCCAACATAGTGAAACCCTGTCTCTACTAAAAATACAAAAAATTAGCTGGGTGTGGTGGTGGGCACAGCTACTTGGAAGGTTGAGGCAGGAGAATCGCTTGAACCCAGAAGGCAGGGGTTGCAGTGAGCTGAGATTGCACCATTGCCCTCCAGCCTGGGCAACAACAGCAAGACTCTGTCTAAAAAAAAAAAAAAAATCAGTATGTCAAAGAGCCGTCTGAACTCCCCTGATCACTGCAGCACTATTCGCAATAGCTAAGACGTGAAAACCATCTAAATGTCCATTGATAGAATAATTGATATAGAAAATGTGGTGCACACACAGGGGAATACTATTCAGCCTTAAACAAGGAAGAAAATTCTGCCATGGGCGACAACACGGACGAAACCTGAGGACATCACGCCAAGCGACGCAGAGGCAGAGACCAAGTACTGCATGATGTCACTTACAGGAGATCTGCAAAGTCACCAGAGTCACAACATCACAGCAGGGAATGGTGGTTACGGGGGCTGGGAGGAGGGGGAAATGGGGAGTTATTAACAAACAGGCCTAGAGATCTGCTGCACCACATACGACCCATCGTCAGCAATAACGTCTTGTTCACTTGAAATTTGTTAACGGAATAGACCTCATGTTATTTGGAGGGCCCGGAGGAAGACAGGAAGAGAAGGGAATGTTTGAAACTTCTTAGAGATGGATTAAATGGTTGTGACCAAAATGCTGATAGTGATGTGAACAGCGAAGTCCAGGCTGACAAGGTCTCAGCTGGAAATAAGGATCTTACTTGGAACTAGAGCGAAAGCCACCTTTGTTACGCCTTAGCAAACAACGTGGCTGCATTCTGTCCATGCCCTAGAGATACCACGCCAGGGTGTCTGGCGGAAGAAATTTCTTTTCTTTTTTTTTAAACGGAGTCTCGCTCTGTTGCCCAGGCTGGAGTGAAGCAGTGCGATCTCGGCTCCCTGCAACCTCTGCCTCCCAGATTCAAGCCATTCTCCTGCCTCAGCCTCCCGATTAGCTGGGACTACAGGCACCCACCACCACGCCCGGCTAATTTTTTGTATTTTTAGCAGAGTCGGGGTTTCACCGTGTTAGCCAGGATGGTCTCGATCTCCTGACCTCGTGATCCACCCGCCTCGGCCTCCCAAAGTGCTGGGATTACAGGCGTGAACCACCAAGCCTGGCCAAGTCAGAAGAAATTTCTAAGCAACAAAGTGTTCAAGTGGCATGGCTTCTTGTACCAACCTAGGCTCAGATGTGGGAGCAAAGAAATTACCTAAAGGTAGAGTTTATATTTAAAAGAGAAGCAAAGTGTAAAAGTTCGAAAAATTTGCGGACTAGCCACATGGTAGAAAAGAAAAGTCCGTTTTCAGGGGAGGAATTCAAGTAGGCTGCTGGGCAACGACTTGCTGGAGAAATTTGCATAACTAAGAGGGAGTCACGTGCTGTACCAAAACATCTCATCTACCCCATAAATATATACACCTACTATGTATACACAAAAATTAAAAATTTAAAAACATATATAGTGACATGAGATGTAGTGTGAAATGTCATTAAAAGATGAGTTTGCATCAGAATAGTCCAAACGTTTCAAAAACATTCCAGCATGATCACTGCCTTGCTGACCAGTCTTCCTCCTGAGACGTGGTGACAGTAATGATCACAAACTTGGATCTCGTGGACAGACAGGGGAATTCAAGCTAAACCCTGGTCCTCAAAGAGTTCTGCATGTTACAGTCCCTGGTATATCCTTCCAATCTAATCCAATTTTCTGTGAGTCCATAAGACAGCAATCCATCTAAAAAATAACAATAAACCAACTAAAACTGCTTAATATAATATGTTAAAGATTTTTTAGGCCGGGTGCAATGGCTCACGCCTGTAATCTTCTCAGCATTTTGGGAGGCCGAGGTGGGCAGATCATGAGGTCAGGAGATCGAGACCATCCTGGCTAACACGGTGAAACCCCGTCTCTACTAAAAATACAAAAAATTAGCCGGGCGTGGTGGTGGGCGCCTGTAGTCCCAGCTACTCAGGAGGCTGAGGCAGGAGAATGGTGTGAACCCGGGAGGCGGAGCTTGCAGTGAGCCGAGATCGTGCCATTGCACTCCAGCCTGGGTGACAGAGCCAGACTCCATCTAAAAAAATATATATTTTTTTTAATTTTTTTTTTTTTTTTGAGACAGAGTCTCGCTCTGTCGCCCAGGCCGGACTGCGGACTGCAGTGGCGCAATCTCGGCTCACTGCAAGCTCCGCTTCCCGGGTTCACGCCATTCTCCTGCCTCAGCCTCCCCAGTAGCTGGGACTACAGGCGCCCGCCACCACGCCCGGCTAATTTTTTGTATTTTTAGTAGAGACGGGGTTTCACCTTGTTAGCCAGGATGGTCTCGATCTCCTGACCTCATGATCCACCCGCCTCGGCCTCCCAAAGTGCTGGGATTACAGGCGTGAGCCACCGCGCCTGGCCTAATTTTTTGTAATGCCTAAGAGATATAAAAACTAAGTGAAGGCTATGCAGTCAAAAGTTAAAGAAAGATGGAGTCCCCAGCCTCAAGCTGAATACTGAACCTGGAGCTCACCTTGATGATGATGAATTAACTGAGCTTTATTTTCATGGTTTTGTAAATCATGAGGACAAGGATAAAGTGCAGGGGTACAGATTCCAAAAGCTTCCACCTCATCATAAGAATGATTTCAAATCACTCACCAACTTCTCATGGTTGCAAGGAATACTACATTTGTTTTGAAACTTAGCATTGAACATGAGGCCAAAACACAGTGGCTCCTGAGAATGACTTTCCTGCTTCTGACTCTTCTTTTACTGGCATAATGGTTTCTATGCATTAGATTATCCTCCCTGCCTCTTTTCACTTTAGGTCTTCATTAGTGATTTTTATTCAGCTTTATCAAAGGATCCTTTGCACACAAACTGCATCCACTTAATCTGTGCAATTCAGTGAATTCTGACAGCTGTGAAACCACCAACATATCCAAGATTTTCTTCACTGCTCAGAAGATTCCTCATGCTCCTTTGCCTCCATGTGGCCACTGGTTCCTTTTTGATATGTATTTGTTGACTGATTTATTTATTTATTTATTTATTTATATATTTATTTTGAGACTGAGTTTCACTCTTGTTGCCCAGGCTGGAGTGTAATGGTGCAATCTTGGCTCCCGGGTTCAAGCGATTCTCCTGTCTCGGCCTCCTGAGTAGCTGGGATTACAGGTGCGCACCACCATGCCCAGCTAATTTTGTATTTTTAGTAGAGACGGGGTTTCTCCATGTTGGTCAAGCTGGTCTCGAACTCCCGACCTCAGGTGATCCGCCCACCTTGGCATCCCAAAGTGCTGAGATTACAGGCGTGAGCCACTGCACCCGGCCGACTAATTCATTTTTTAAACACACTTCTTACCTGGGAATAAATTTAAACTTGCAAAAGAGTTGCAGAGGTACAGAGAGTTCCCATATGCCCTTCATCCAGGTCCCTCTAATGTTCATGCTTTACACGACCCCAGCACATCCGCCAAAAAAAAAAAAAAATTAACACTGGTACAATAATTAACTGACAGGCTTTCTTTGGATTTCATCATCTTTCCACCAACGTTCTTTGCCTGTGCTGGGATCCAATGCAGGGGCACCGTCCTGCATTTACTTCCCTCTCTGTTAACTGCAGAGAAGGGTTTCTGTTTTCCTGGTTGGACCCTGATTAATATTCCCCTAGTATCTGAACTCCAGGTGCCCAGGAAGGTTGGGGGGCAAGGATGTGCTGCCCACTGGGGAAGGAGTGGCTGGCAGAATCGACATCCGTCTGTTCCTCCACAATCCAAGGTCACAGAACACATGGGCAGTTATTCTGGGTTTTTCCATAAGAAGGGTGATACAGAGCTGTCGTTGTTCCATATTATGAGGACCCCTCCACCTTTGCATTCCTCTAAGACCTTTCCTCTGAGACTCTCCTCCAAGCTGGAGAAGACAAGCTACATGCTTATGTCCAAGGCATGCTGCAGATTCAGCATGGCACAGCTCCCTCACTCAAAAACGTTACTTGATGTGGGATGCACAGGCATAGAGTAGTGATTCTCACACTAGACTCAGATACATACACAATATTTGCAACTTAAATTAAACACCAATTAAATGTCAAGTGGAAAGACAACATCTACAGAAATAAAATGACACAAGATGCAATGTGAAATGTCATTAAAAGAAGAGTTTGCATTAGAATAGTTCAAATATTTCAAAACTATTCCAGCACGTCACTGCGTTGCTGACCTATCTTCCTCCTGAGATGTGGTCGCCGTAATGATCTCAAGCTTGGACCTCGTGGACAGACTGGGGAACTCAAGCTAAACCCCGGTCCTCACAGTTCTGCACGTTGCAATCCTGTGTCGTTCCGTCCAATCTAATCCAATCTCAAGGACCCCAGTTCCTGAGCAACCCTGGCTTGGCTCGGCCAAAGGGAAGCGTCTACAGAATCTGAGTCTAGAATGCCCGGAGGTCTGTACTTCTTGCTGTTTTCAGGAGATTCAACTGCAAAGCCCTCCCCAAGTCATCCACATTGGCTCACGTTTCTGTGCCCCACCCTTCCTGCCTGGGAGGACCCTTCTTGTTCAGCCAAAAAAGCAACCTGAGGGTGGGGTGGTAGCAGGGACTCACCCATTTCTCTTTCCATCTTCTGTCGCGGATGCAACCCTGGAAGGAAGACCTCAGGACGATGATCATCTTCATAGGATTCCCGACCTGTGCCTGGCTTTGTCCTGAATATTAGCCTTGGCAGCCTGGCCTGGGCTCCGATGGTGGATGAACTTGGCTTTCCACGGGCTGCCACCTCCAGCCTGCGCTGTGGAGAGACCAGATCCTCGGAACAGTATTTTAACCTTGTCCTCCTTTCCCTTCCAGGGTTTACCAAGACATAGCGGGTGTCATAGATGTGAAAAAGCTTCTGCTATACCAGGGTCAGGAACGGAGCAAAACTGAAAACCGCACAGGATGTGGTCTGCCAGGTGCCAGCATCACAGCTCAAATCCTTAAGAAGCTCCAGCCGCAGGCACGGAAATAAACAGCTTCTCCCTGCCCTGTATACGTCTCCGATTTTACCCAGGATGGGGCTGAGGAAGCAACACAGATTCCCAAACGTTACTTTTTTTTTTTTATTTTGCTTGAGAGCCAAGGCAATATTAGACAAGCCTTACTCCCTAATTAGTGCCTGACAAGAACCATATCTCTGTCCCAATCCTTCTATTCAAAGTAGGCACAATTTGCTTTTACCAAATGTAAAACTCATGTCAAAGCCATGCTGTGAGTATTTACACCAGAGAAATCGGCAAATGCTACACGTCGGGGTTGTTTTTTGTTTTTCTTTTTGCTTTTTTTTTCAGAGAGCTGATTGTCAAGACTTTACCAGCACACTGCTGGTAAATTTCCAAAGGCCAATTTAAAGAAATTTTTTTAACAGAACATGTAAAAAAAAATCAACGTGAAGTCAACATGCTCCAGGGAAATCAGACAATTGATAAAGCATGTCTATTTCTGTAGTGTATACTCCAGCCTGTTTCCCCCTCCTACCTCAGGTACCGTAACCAGCATCTGAAGTCTTATATTCAAATTTCCCTTGCACTTTTGTAAATATAGTGTTCTCTCATCGATGTACCTATTTGGTGTGTATGTATATGTGTGTGTATATATATATATGCTATCATTTAAAAATTGTATTTATTTATTTAAGGTGGGTCACCGAGGCTGGAGTGCAATGGTGCAATCTCAGCTCACTGCAGCCTCCACTTCCCAGGCTCCAGCGATCCTCCTGCCTCAGCCTTCTGAGTAGCTGGGATTATAAGGGTGTGACCCCATACCCAGCTAATTTTTGTATGTTTAGTAGAGATGGGGTTTCGCCATGTTGACCAGGCTGGTCTTGAACTCCTGCCCTCAGGTGATCTGCCTGCCTCAGCCTCCCAAAGTGCTGGAATTACAGGCATGAGCTACTGTGCCCAGCCTCGTTTTTAATTTTAGTGCAAAGTATAGTTTTCAAAACAATGTTTGCAATGTCATCAAATATAGAATGAGCACGCATCAATGTCTTCTTAATTCATTAATGATGAAATCATCATTCAAAATTCCTGTCTTTACCCAAATATTTAGCTTCTTCTGTTGCTCTTCATTTGTTCCTGCGTTTCTCCATTTCCACTGGGATGATTTCCTCTTGTCCAAGCCTTTTATTCTGGCAACCAATGAACTTTACACTCTTTCTATAGTTTTGCCTTTTCCAGAATGTCACATAGTTGGAATCAGACAGTGGATACGCCATTTGGGCGGGCTTATTTCGTGTAGTGATATACATTGAACTCTCCTCCACATCTTTTCATGACTTGAGAGCTTGTGTCTTCTTAGCATGGGATAATATTCCATTGTCTGGACACATAGTTAATCCACTCACTTACTGAAGGGCATCTTGGTTGCTTCCAAGTTTGGGCGATTATGAATAAAGCTACTGTAAAGATCCATATGACCGTATGTTTTCAGCTCCCTTCGGTAAATATCAAGGAATGCAATTGCTGGATTACATGGCAAAGCTATATTTAGTTTTAGAAGAAATTGCCGCACTGTCTCCCAAAGTGGCTGTACCATTTGGCAATCCCACCAGCAATGAATGAGAGTTCCCGTTGCTCCACATCCTCGCCAGTAGGCCAGTATGTGGTATTGTCTGCGTTTTAGAATTTGGCCACTCTAATAGGTGTGTCGTGGTAACTTGGTTCCTAAGATACTGATAGAGGTGCAGAACACCAGCTGGGAAGTCAGCCAGAATGAGCTTCTCCTGTGACTTCCTGTCCCACAGCCTCAGAGAACTTTGACAAGCCACTTCCCCTATAAACTTGTCTTTCTTTCTTTCTTTTTTTTTTTTTTTTTTGAGATGAAGTCTCACTCTGTCACCCAGGCTGGAGTGCAATGGCATGATCTTGGCTCACTGCAACCTCCGCCTCCCGGGTTCAAGTGATTCTCATGCCTCAGCCTCGTGAGTAACTGGGATTACAGGCATGCACCACCACACCCAGATAATTTTGTATTTTTAGTACAGACGGGGTTTCACCATGCTGACCAGGCTGGTCTCGGACTCCTGACCTCGTGATCTGCCCACCTCAGCCTTTTAAAGTGCTGGGATTATAGGTGTAAGCCACTGAGCCCGGCCTCCTTATAAACTTCTCTAAATCTAAATTTGTGAATATTCTTTCTTTAAAAGTCGATCAACTGGCCTGGCACAGTGGCTCATGCCTGTAATACCAGCATTTTGGAAGGTCGAGGCGGATGGATCACTTGAGGTCAGGAGTTCGAGTCCAGCCTGGCCAACCTGGTGAAACCCCATCTCTACTAAAAATACAAAATTAGAGGGGCATAGTGGCGGGCGCCTGTAATCCCAGCTGCTTGGGAGGCTGAGAGGCAGGAGAATTGCTTGAACCCAGGAGGTAGAGGTTGCAGTGAGCCGAAATCGCACCACTGCACTCCAGCCTGGGCAACAGGAGCGAAACTCTGTCCTAAAAAAACAAAATTAAATTAAAAAGCCAGTCCTGGTGTGGTGGCTCACGCCTGTAATCCCAGCACTTTGGGAGGCCAAGGCGGGCAGATCACGAGGTCAGGTGATCGAGACCATCCTGGCCAACACGGTGAAACCCCATCTCTACTAAAAAAATACAAAAAGTTAGCTGGGCGTGGTGGCGGGCACCTGTAGTCCCAGCTACTTGGGAGGCTGAGGCAGGAAAATGGCATGAACCCGGGAGGCGGAGCTTGCAGTGAGCCGAGATCGCGCCACTGCACTCCAGCCAGGGTGACAGAGCGAGACTCCGTCTCAAAAATAAATAAATAAATAAAATAAATAAGTCGATAGACCAATATTTATCAATTACCTCTTATACGCTTGGTGTTTGAGATTCAGGAATGAACAAAACAGATCCAGTCCCTGCCCTCAACCTAGCTCTTAGTGTAATGATTATGGGAACAGGGTCAAATAGCAAATCACAAATTATTTCACGACTATTGTGAGACAAGAGTGAGAGCCAAGAGTGGTGGTGCACACCTGTAATCCCAGCTCGAACCAGGGAGACAGAGGTTGCAGTGAGCCGAGATCGCACCAATGGCTTAACACAATGGGATTTGGCTTTTCACTCATGTAAATGACCAGTGCGGTTTTCTCTGGGGCAGAATTTGAATTTTCTCCCCAGGATGACTCAGGGACACCCGCTTCCTCCATTGTGCTCCCATCATGCCCTTGGGCAATGGCGTCCCGTACTTCAAACAGCAAGAAAGAAGGAGAAACAGAATATATCTGTGCACTTGCAAAATTTGCTGACACATGTCATTTCTGTCCAGAATTGTTGGCTATAAATAGTGTTATGAACAGTCACACAATGATGCAACAAGACCAGGGAAAAAGTCCCTTGGTGGGGGTAGCCACTTCCCAGAGGTTCCAATGCTTGCACTGTAAGGGTAAGTACAGAATTTTTTTTTTTTCTGGTGAGCAGCCACATATTTCTGCCTCACGTGAAAAATAATCTCAAGAAGAAATGTACCTGAGAATGTATAGCCCAGGAGCATGATGTTGTGACACCTGATTGATGGACCATGTGGGGTGATTGACTCCCCTGTACTTAGAAGGAAATCAAAACCAAAGGTTCAAGTAATATTAAAGAGAAATATTGTCATATTCCCTCTGGAACCCATGCACGTCTTAGCTAACCTGCAGAGAGGAGTAGAAACCACTAGAACTGAAGGAGGCAGCTCTGTGCAAGGGTGACGGCCTTCTCCCCTCCCAGTTCCCTTAGTTCTGGAGTTCGATGAAGGACGGGGTCCACACGGCCCACTCCGTTTCCTCTTTCTCTGAACCGGGGGTGCAGAACCTGAACCCAGACAACCCCTGGGTATGAGTCCGGCCCCAGATCACAGCTGTGGTTTTGGCTGCCGCAGTGACCTTGGCAAAGTCCTGAGTCGTTTGCTGTTGTGGGTATGATGGACAGCTGCGACGTTTTCCTGGACTCCCACTGAAATCTTTAACTTCAAGATCATCTTCTCCATCCCAACAGAACTCATCAGGCCCAGAAGGCTCCCAGCCCCAGAGGTTCCCAGAGCTCTTCAGGTGGAATGTTGAGTCTGCACAAGCCAGGATGGTGACTCTGGAGAAGTTCTCCAGAAAAGAATCAGCATCTAGAGTCTCCTGAGTTCCAGGCCCTTAGAAATTTAGACTCCAGAACCACTGCCAAAGTGACCCCCTCAGCCCAGCCCTTCGGTACCCAGCATCCACTGTCCTCAGCCCAGCCCTTCCGTACCCAGCATCCACTGTCCTGGTGGGAGTCCGCTGTGCTGCTCCAAGAAGACAGACCCTCACCATTACCGGAAAGACTGACCCTCCTGTGTCCAGGTCCTGTGGCCCAGACTCAGCTCTGGAAGAGAAATCTGGATTTACAATGCTCAGTACGTCGCTCAAAATCTGCACTCGATGACGTCTGTAAGCTCTTGGTCCCAGCCTGGGCTGCGAAGCCTGAGGCTTGGGCAGACAATGCCGTCCCGCCGTCATCTCTGCTCCCTCTTCGATCGCTAAGCTCCCACAGCATTGATCTAACCAGACATGGGCCCAGGGAGAGAGCTGTCTTCCCCACCTCCCAGCCCCAATCCCTCAATCCCTCGCCTGCCGTGCCAAGACTGGTCAAGGGAAAGTCCAGGAAGAAAGCATGGTAAGGGGCACCGTGCTGCCTGCGCCCGCCCCGCTGTGCAGAATGCAGAGGCTCAGGATGCGGTGCGCAGAGACTCAGTCCCAACCGTCTTGTGGCTTCTTACCACGTATCTCCCAGGAAGTCACCATGAGGCTTAGTTCTTCCTTCCTGTGACTGGGGTAAAGGAGAGAACTGTCTCCTTGGACATCATCATCCATACGCCCGGCCCGAACGTCATCTCTGACCCAAACACCAAATCCAGACGGGCAACCACGGCTGTGGGGTGTGGAGGGGGAATCTGAACACCAACCTGGAGGTCAGACTTGAAGGAGACGGCGACGCTGCCTTCGCCCCATTCACAATATACAACCTTCGATGGGCCACCTCCCCAGTGAGGCTTCATCAAGGGGGCTTGGTCAACTTCCTTTTTGTGTGAACGAAAACATACGTTTCCAGGCGCCTATTAAGGGCTTGAGTCTGTGTCAGAGACGAGCCACACAAGTCAACGGACCTCACAGTCTAATGTGGAGGGCACACCTCTGACTATTCAAAAGTCATATATAGCATATTAACCGTAGATTTTAACAAATTAGCCTTGAAATACCTGCAGTTTGTCACAATGGAAGGCTCACTTCTCACTGGGTGACACGTCCATATGGGGGCCCCCGGTTGGCAGTTGGAGCTCCTCCATCAGGTGACTCAGGTGCCCAGATTCTTCCAACTTTGGGGTCCAACCTCCCCTAGAACCTTGGAGTGCTCTGTTACCAGTGAGGGGAAAGAGGAAGAGAGAGTGGAAAGGGCTCATCCGTGCCTTTTAAATAAAAAATCTGAATGTGACCAGGCGCAGTGGCTCACGCCTGTAATCCCAGCACTTTGGGAGGCCAAGGCAGGCAGATCACAAGGTCAAGAGATGGAGACCAGCCGGGTGCGGTGGCTCACGCCTGTAATCCCAGCACTTTGGGAGGCCAAGACAGGTAGATCACAAGGTCAGGAGATCGAGACTATCCTGGCTAACACGGTGAAACCCCATCTCTACTAAAAATACAAAAAAATTAGCCGGGCATGGTGGCGGGCACCTGTAGTCCCAGCTACTTGGGAGGCTGAGGCAGGAGAATGGCGTGAACCTGGGAGGCGGAGCTTGCAGTGAGCCAAGATCGTGCCACTGCACTCCAGCCTGGACGACAGAGCGAGACTCCATCTCAAAAAAAAAAAAAAAAAAAGAGGTGGAGACCATCCTGGCCAACATGGTGAAACCCCGTCTCTGCTAAAAATACAAAACTAAGCTGGGTGTGGTGGTGCACACCTGTAGTCCCAGCTACTTGGAAGGCTGAGGCATGAGAATCACTTGAACCTGGGAGACAGAGGTTGTAGTGAGCCGAGATCGAGCCACTGCACCCCAGCCTGGGGACAGAGCAAGACTCCGTCTCAGAAAAAAAAAAAAATCCTACGACCTTGTGTGAAAAGGGGACTCAACCCTCAGAGCTAACTCCAGGGAAGCCACCTGCAGTGTGGAGTGGAATTGGGGCTGAGGACTGACGAGCTGGCGACAGGAAGAGCAGCTGGGGGAGACGTGGACGGAGGAGACAGCTTCTGTGAAAGCCCTAATCAGGAGACAATTTTTCCTGTTGTAAGTTGAGTGGACTCCAGATGGAAAAATAATACGAAGAATATGTGTACTGATTGAGCAGGAGTCTCTAAAAGGCCAAATAAAGTTTTGGTATTTTACCCTCAAGAGAGTGGGACAGGTTTTGAGCATAAGTATGGCATCATCATATTTTTGTCTAAAATGTATCTGTAAGACCACTTCCTGAAGTCAGAATTGCACGAAGCAAAAACAGTAAGAGGTAACGTTTTCTGAGCATTTACTTTATGCCAGACACTGCCCTGAGTCCCCAGTATGGATAGTTTACTTAATTTTCCCAACAACTTTGGAAAGGTGTTTTCATCACTAGACTCATTTTAATGATGAGAACACTGAACTCAGAGGTTAATTAGTTTGATTAGTGTCATGTATTAACATGCATAATTTCATGGAAGGAACTGGATTTCAACCCAGGAAGAAAGTATGTCCTTACCTATTATTATTATTATTATTATTATTATTATTATTATTATTATTATTGAGACAGAGTCTTGCTCTGTCACCCAGGCTGGAGTTCAGTGGCATGATCTCGGCTCACTGCAACCTCCGCCTCCCAGGTTCAAGCAATTCTCCTTGTCTCAGCCTCCTGAGTAGCTGGGACTACAGGCGCCCACCACCACGCCTGGCTAACTTTTGTATTTTTAGTAGAGACGAGGTTTCACCATGTTGACCAGGCTGATCTGCATCTCCTGACCTCATGATCCACCCACCTCGGCCTCCCAAAATGCTGGAATTACAGGCGTGAGCCACCGCACCCGGCCGTCCTTACCTATTATTGATATATCATTGTATTTCTTAAAGAAAACAAGAAAAACCAAGTGTGGATAGACCAGTTAAAAAGTTCTTGCCTTCCAGGACAGTGATGATTTGTTTGCACTGGAATTATCACAGCAGGAATTTCAGTAAATATGTGGATTTATGACTGGGAGGTAGGCTCAGAAGAAATGCTGATGGAAGTTTGGCTTCCAGAAATATCTGACTAGGTTGTTTTAGACTAAACTTCTCACCGTTAATTAAAAAAAAAAAAAAAAAAAACTTTAGGCCAGGCGCGGTGGCTCACGCCTGTAATCCCATCACCTTGGGAGGCCGAGGCAGGCAGATCATGAGGTCAAGAGATCGAGACCATCCTGGCCAACATGGTGAAACCCCTTCTCTACTAAAAATACAAAAATTAGCCAGGCGTGTTGGTGGGTTCCTGTAGTCCCAGCTACCCTGGAGGCTGAGGCAGGAGAATCGCTTGAACCCGGGAGGTGGAGATTGTAGTGAGCCGAGATCGCGCCACTGCACTCCAGCCTGGGCAACAGAGTGAGACTCCGTCTCAAAAACAAAAAAAAAACAAAAAAAACAACAACAACTGTAAAAGATGAACAAAAACCAAAGAACATCTGTCTGTAGAACTTGGCATGCTTCCAAGGCAGAGAGAATTTAGGGTTCCAAGACATAAAAGAGGAAGGAAACCAAGCAAGGGGACTTTATCCTTTGAGGTTAGTTTTATGTTAACGGTTTGCTGATTCTGAAACTAAAGGCAGCAGATGAGAGACCAAAAAGCTGAGTAGGAGCAGGATGAAGAATTTCAACAAAGAACTAGCAAATATAAGAACAAACACAGCCGGACGCGGTGGCTCACACCTGTAATCCCAATACTTTGGGAGGCCAAGGCGGGTGGATCACCTGAGCTTGGGGGTTTGAGATCAGCCTGACCAACAGGGAGAAACCCCATCTCTACTAAAAATACAAAATTAGCCGGACTCAGTGGCGCATGCCTGTAATCCCAGCTACTCAGGAGGCTGAGGCGGGAGAATCGCTTGAACCCAGGAGGCGGAGGTTGCAGTGAACCGAGATGGTGCCACTACACTCCAGCCTGGGTGACAGAGTGAGATTCCATCTCAAAAAAGAAAAAGAAAAAAAAAGAAAATACGGGACATGGTGAAAATACTTAACATATGTACAACTGGAATCCCATAAGGGGAAGAAAGACAGAGAAAGAGAAAGGCAGACACGATATTGGAAGGGTTACTGAACAATATTTCCTAAAATGAATCAAAAACATCAAGCCACACAGTAGATGTCCAGTAGGAACTTAAACCTCACGTGTTTATAACATGTTATAATATAAGTTGCTTATATTCACTCCCAAATCTCCTCCTCCTAAGGTCTTTCCCATCTCAGTAAATGAGAATTCCAGCCACTAGTTATTTGGGCAAAAAAAAAAAATAAGTGTTACCCTTGACTCCATGTTTTTCCTCATATCCCACAGCTGTGAGTACATTATCAGACATTTCCCTTTGAAATATCTCCAGAATAGTATCATTTCTCTCC
The DNA here is from genome assembly GCF_000001405.40 of Homo sapiens. Lineage (NCBI taxonomy): Eukaryota > Metazoa > Chordata > Mammalia > Primates > Hominidae > Homo > Homo sapiens. The sequence goes on from NW_003571060.1 coordinate 283,913, forward strand.
ACCTCTTGGAGACCACCCGAGCCTGAACCACTGTCTGCTGTACCTGGATCATTGCAAGAGCTTCCTAACTAATCCTTCTTGCATCTAACATTCCTCCTCTATTAATCTGTTCTCCACACAGTAGCAGAGTTGTCTTGTAAGAAGATAACGATTCTCCCAAGGATCACAGCCAATCAGACACAGCAATGGCTGCTCCAAGCCACAGGGATGCCTGCTCATGCACCGTGCCAGCCAAGCTCGTTTCTGGAGTTTTGGGTGGGTCCGGATGAGAGAAGACAATAGCTAACTTTATGGCTGTCATTCTGGGAAATCATTCCCTTGAGAACAGAGCTTTGTCAAAAGAAGGTGGATTCTACAAAAGATTAAGCAGTAAATGACTCAAAAGATGATCAGGCAATGGGGGAAAATTAGCCAAGAGCTGATTCCTATGAAATGTTTTATTATTCCTGTGAAATTTTTGCATTAATCAAGACCATGAATTTGGAAGGAGCCCTTCTTGGAGAAGACCTCTTCATTGGAAGCAATGGTCCCTGTACAGGTGGCTGAGAGGAACACAACAAAAGCAACGTCCAGGTAGAGCAGGAAGGATGCCCCTCAGGAGCAAGGAGTGGTCATCAGGTGAAACCCAAGGTGTCTTCTTAGAGAGTGAAGGTCCCGGGTACCTGCCGCCAGGTCCTAGTGACCAGCCCCCAGAGTGGAAGTACAAGGGTAATGCCCAGCTACTCACACCGGGGGGTGATGTCCTGGAGAAAGGGCTGACAGCAGCTTACCTGGACTGCTGGCATCATTATCACATGCATGCCACATGCCTTCATGAAAATCAAAGTCTCCCTCCAAAGTGCAAGTCCAATTCCATAAAATAAGGCATGCTGATCATAAAATACGATTTGGCAATAAAATGGCAGTATAGCAAAAGCACTGGCCACTTTGTGTCACTCCTTAGTATGGTTTGGATCTGTGTCCCCACCAAATCTCATGTCGAATTGTCATCTCCAGTGTTGGAGGTGGGGACTGGTGGGAGGTGATTGGCTCATGGGGGTGGCTCCTGCATGAATGGTGGGGACTGGTGGGAGGTGACTGGCTCATGGGGGTGGCTCCTGCATGAATGGTGGGGACTGGTGGGAGGTGATTGGCTCATGGGGGTGGCTCCTGCGTGAATGGTGGGGACTGGTGGGAGGTGATTGGCTCATGGGGGTGGCTCCTGCGTGAATGGTGGGGACTGGTGGGAGGTGACTGGCTCATGGGGGTGGCTCCGGTATGAATGGTGGGGACTGGTGGGAGGTGATTGGCTCATGGGGGTGGCTCCAGCATGAATGGTTTGTCACCATCCCCTTCGGTGCTGTTCTCACGATAGTGAGTGAGTCCTCATTAGATGTGGTTGTTTAAAAGTGTATGGCACCTCTCTTCTCTCTCTCTCTCTCCCTCCTGCTCCAGCCATGTAAAGTGTTTGCTCCTCCTTTGCCTTCCACCATGACTGAAAGCCTCCTGAGGCCTCCCCAGAAGCCAAGCAGAAGCCACTGTGCTTCCTGTACAGCTTGCAGAACCATGAGCCAATTAAACTTCTTTTCTTTGTAAGTTTCCCAGTGCCAGGTATTTCTTTACAGCAATACAAGAACGGACTAATACAGAAAATTGGCACCCAGGATGGACTAATACACTCTTATGCCCAAAAGCGTTCCAGAACTTCCCACCAAGGTCATATTGACAAGACTTTGCATCTTCTCTCCCCCACCCACCTCTTGGCTTAGCACTCTGATTGTATCTCCTCCCACTTTCCCCTTCGTGACCCTGATCCAGCCACATGGACATCCTTGCTGTTCCTAGAATACACCAAGCATGCATCTGCCTCAGGACCTTTGCATGTGCCATGCTTTCTGCCTGGAACACTCTTCCCCCAGAGATGCATGGGGCTCACTCTCTGCCTCCTTCACTCTTGACTCCAATATTCCCTTCTCCTTCAGGTCTTCTTGGACCATCCTATCTAAAGTTGCAACACTCCCTCCAGATTTCATATCACCTCTCACTGCCTTTTTTTCTTTCTTCAGCATATATCACTAATCTTGCATATATTTTATTTATTAATATTGTTTATGATCTGCCCCCCCATTAGAATATATCTCCATGAAGTCATAGATGTTTTTTCTGCAGTGTTTCCTATAGTGTCCCTGCACCTAGGACAGTCCCTGGCACACAATAGATACTCAATAAATTTTTTTGAATGAATATTTGTTGAGTATCTAAAATCTCTAAACTTATGAATGAATAGACATATACAGTATATAGGAAGTATAAGGAAGGCTACAAGGGCATGATTACTGAGTACAATTCTAGAAGCCAGATCTCTAGCTTTTAATTATGGTTGTACCAGTTATAAGCTTTGTGACTTTAGAGTAAGTTTATTAACCTCTCTGTTCCTCTACTTCTTCCTCTGTAAAAAAAATTTTTCAGCCGGGCAAGGTGGCTCACGCCTGTAATCCCAGCACTTTGGGAGGCCGAGGCGGGCGGATCACGAGGTCAGGAGATCGAGGCCATCCTGGCTAACACGGTGAAACCCCGTCTGTACTAAAAATACAAAAAATTAGCCGGGCGTGGTTGCGCAAGCCTGTAGTTCCAGCTACTCGGGAGGCTGAGGCAGGACAATGGCGTGAACCCGGGAGGTGGAGCTTGTAGTGAGCTGAGATCGCGCCACTGCACTCCAGCCTGGGCGACAGAGCAAGACTCCGTCTCAAAAAAAAAAAAAAAAAAAAAATACAAAGTAATTGTACAGAACTCATAAAATTTTTGTGACTATTCGGTGAGTTATTATGTTAAAAGTAATCAGATAGGCTGAGGCAGGAGAATCGCTTGAACCCGGGAGGCAGAGGTTGCAGTGAGCTGAGATCACGCCACTGCACTCCAGCCTGGGTGACAGAGCAAGACTCCGTCAAAAAAAAAAAAAAAAAAAAAAAATTACGTAACGGATACAATGTATGTCACTGGGTTAGTGGATCCCTGAAAGCCCTAACTTCATCATTCTGGAATCTATCCATGCAACAAAGTTACACTCGTACCCCATAAACGTATACAAATAAAAAATAATCGGCTGCGCATGGTGGTTTACAGCTGTAATCCCAGCACTTTGGGAGGCTGAGGAGGGCGGATCACCTGAGGTCGGGGGTTTGAGACCAGCCTGACCAACAGGGAGAAACCCTGCCTCTACTAAAAATACAAAATTAGCTGGGCGTGGTAGCACATGCCTGTAATCCCAGCTACTCAGGAGGCTGAGGCAGGAGAATCGCTTGAACCCGGGAGGCAGAGGTTGCAGTGAGCAGAGATCAAACCATTGCACTCCAGCCTGGGCAACGAGAGCAAAACTCCATCTCAAAAAATAATCATAATCATAATCATAAATATAAGGCAAAAGTAAGCATGCTTTCTTTAAAAAAAGTAGTCAGACTGAGCCTGTCATCTGGTAAGAGCTCTAACGTTTATCGTTAATATGATTGTTATTGTCGCTGTTATATTTTCATTATTGGTGTTGTCATTATATGTACAAAACAGCATCAGCAGAGAATCCACATCCTTTTCAAGAACAAATGAAGCATTTACAAAAATTGATGACTTATTAATCCACCCAGGAAGTCTCAAAATCTTCCAAAAACTTCATATAATACAAACCATGACTGGGCACAGTGGCTCATGCCTGTAATCCCAGCACTTTGGGAGACCGAGGAGGGCGGATCACCTGAGGTCAGGAGTTCGAGACCAGCCTGGCCAACATGGCAAAACCCCGTCTCTACTAAAAACACAAAATTAGCCGGGCGTAGTGGTGCATGCCTGTAATCCCAGCTACTTGGGAGGCTGAGGCAGGAGAATTGCTTGAACTCGGGAGGTGGAGGTTGCAGTGAGCCGAGATTGTGCCATTGCGCTCCAGCCTGGGCAACAAGAGCAAAACTTCGTCTCAAAAAAAAAAAAAAAAAAAAAAAAAAAAGAAAAAAGAAAAGAAAAGAAAAAGAAAAGAAAAAAAAGAAATACAGACCATATTCTGTGACTACAAATTTATGTAAAAGATTAAATATTAAAAGATTTAAAAATACATTTTTAAAACTAAAAATTCAGTACAACTTATGAGTTCAGACTTAAAAAACACAGGAGACATAAAATATTTAGAAATGAGCAGAGACAGTGATTCATATCGAAACTTGCTGAATGCAATAAAAGTCCTACTTAGGGGAAAATGTACACTTTTTTTTTTTTTTTAGAAAACACGAAGTTTGGGAAATTACTTACTGAGCATGCAACTTGTGGAGCTGGAAGGAGAAAGGAAGTCAAGGGGAGGTGCAGGAAGGGTCCAGAAAAGCAGCAAACACAAGGTTAACAGAAGAAATGCCCCAGTAAGTGCCCAAGGAACTCACCCAGGTGCATTGTCACGACGCTTTCAGAAACAAAAGAAAAAGAAAATAAACATATTCTAGGTGAGAGAAAACAGACAACTGTGCACTAAGTTTCTATTTTTTTTTTTTTTTTTTTTTTTTTTTGAGACGGAGTCTCACTCTGTCGCCCAGGCTGGAGTGCGGTGGCGCGATCTCAGCTCACTGCAAGCTCTGCCTCCCGGGTTCACGCCATTCTCCTGCCTCAGCCTCCCGCGTAGCTGGGACCACAGGCGCCCGCCACCACGCCCGGCTAATTTTTTGTATTTTTAGTAGAGATGGGGTTTCACCATGTTGGCCAGGATGGTCTCGATCTCCTGACCTCGTGATCCGCCCACCTCGGCCTCCCAAAGTGCTGGGATTACAGGCGTGAGCCACCGCGCCCGGCCGGTTTCTATTATTATAATCACATCAGACTTCTCATCAGTCACTCTGGAAGTTGACAAGGGAGAAATGCGTTTGAAAATAGCCTGTGGCCGGGTGCAGTGGCTCACGGCTGTAATCCCAGCACGTTGGGAGGCCGAGGCGGGCAGATCACAAGGTCAGTAGTTCCAGACCAGCCTGGCCAGCATGGTGAAACCCTGTCTCTATTAAAAATACAAAAAAATTAGCCAGGCATGTCTGTAGTCCCAGCCACTCCAGAAGCTGAGGCAGGAGAACTGCTTGAACCCGGGAGGTGGAGGTTGGAGTGAACTGAGATTGCACCACTGTACTTCAGCCCGGGCAACAGAGTGAGACTCTGTCTCAAAAAATGAAAGAAAGGGCCGGGCACGGTGGCTCACGCCTGTAATCCCAGCACTTTGGGAGGCCGAGGCGGGCGGATCACAAGGTCAGGAGATCGAGACCATCCCGGCTAAAACGGTGAAACCCCGTCTCTACTAAAAATACAAAAAATTAGCCGGGCGTAGTGGCGGGCGCCTGTAGTCCCAGCTACTTGGGAGGCTGAGGCAGGAGAATGGCGTGAACCCGGAGGCAGAGCTTGCAGTGAGCCGAGATCCCGCCACTGCACTCCAGCCTGGGCGACAGAGCGAGACTCCGTCTCAAAAAAAAAAAAAAAAAAAAAAAAAGAAAGAAAGGGAGGGAGGGAGGGAGGGAGGGAGGGAGGGAGGAAGGAAGGAAGGAATGAAGGAAGGAAGGAAGGAAGAAAATAGCCTATGTATTCCTATGGAGAGATCCCAGAGTGTATTCTTAGAGATTAAACGACATCAGGATGTCATCTGTATTGTGCCAAGAATTGGGGGAATCAGAATATACATTCATATTGACTCATATTCACCCAGAAACAAACACTGGAAGGATTAATATGAGAAAGTTAAAATTGTGGCTCTCCCACGTTTTCTTCCCCGTCCACCACCTGAACAAGCTGCGGTCCTAGAAATCACCTCGACTGCTCCTCTTTCTCACCCTCTCCCCTTGTTCTACCTCCAGAATCTGTCCTCATGCAGACACTGCTTGCCAGCACCACGGCGCCAGGTTCACCCTCTCTCTCCTCGTCCAGGGAACATTCCCTAAGTGGTGTCTCTGTGTTCATTTGCTGCTTCTTAGCTGTTCTCCTCATTGTAGCCAGGGTGATGTTTTCAAAGGGTCAGTCAAATCATGTCTTGCTACCATTGAAATCTCCAGTGATTCATGATGTACTTCGCCCAAAACCCAAACTCTGTGACCTACGGGACACTCACTCACCTCTCCAGTTTCATGTTGGTCCCTGTGCCCCTCACTCCCTGCCCTCAGGCCACATGACATTCCTGCTGTTCCTTGAAGACACCAGGTCCCTCCCTGCCTTGGGACTCCGCGTCTCTGCCTGGGTGCACTGACCTCCTGCTTTGCACCACAGCCTCCAGGTCTCTGCTCAGCATCATCTTAGCAAGAAGGGCCTTCTCAGATCACTCTGTTGAAAGAAGTCCACTCCCCTGACACCCATCCCTTTGCTAAGAAGATTTGTCTTCATTCTCTCTTGACGTTCATCCTCCTTTCTAATTATCTACTCTTTGACTTGTACGCTGTCCCTCTCTCCCCATTAGAATGGAGACTTCACTTGGCCAGGGACCTTGTCTGTCTTGATCATCACTCTATCACCGGTACTTAGGGCCTGGCACATAATAGATGCTCAGCAAATACTTGTAGAACGAATAGTGAATCAGAAACAATATTGGCCATTGTTTACTGGACATTTAAAGGTTAAATAATGGCACCCCTATGCAATGAAATACTGGATGAGCATTAAAAATGATGCTGCTGGCCGGGCACGGTGGCTCATGCCTGTAATCCCAGCACTTTGGGAGGCCAAGGCGGGCGGATCACCTGAGGTCAGGAGTTTGAGACCAGCCTGACCAACAGGATGAAACCTCATCTCCACTAAAAATAAAAAAAATAGCTTGGCATGGTGGCGCACACCTGTAATCCCAGCTACTCAGGAGGCCGAGGCAGGAGAATCACTTGAGCCTGGGAGGCGGAGGTTGCAGTGAGCTGAGATCATGCCACTGCACTCCGGGCTGCCCCACACAGCGAAACTCTGTCTCAAAGAAAAAAAAAAAAAGGATGATGCTGTTTTACTTTTATTGACATGAAAGATGTCAAGGGTATTGTTGAGTGAACAAAACAGGAAAAACACATATATGTAGAAGTTACATACATTAAGTTATATATGTACATTTACACACATGTTTATGGAAGGAGAGATTTCTGAGAAAGTGTTAACAGAAATGTTTGCTGTGATTAACATGAGGTAATGAGGGTTTCAAATTCTCTCATTTCATTTTTTATGAGTTGTTTTATTTGGATTTTTTTTTTTGAGACGGAGTCTCGCTCTGTCGCCCAGGCTGGAGTGCAGTGGTGCCATCTCGGCTCACTGCAAGCTCTGCCTTCTGGGTTCACGCCATTCTCCTGCCTCGGCCTCCCAAGTAGCTGGGACCACAGGCGCCCGCCACCACGCCAGGCTAATTTTTTGTATTTTTAGTAGAGATGGGGTTTCACCGTGTTGACCGGGATGGTCTCAATCTCCTGACCTTGTGATCCACCAGCCTTGGCCTCCCAAAATGCTGGGATTACAGGCATGAGCCACCGCGCCTGGTCCCTGGACTTTTTTTTTTTAAAGAAAGGGTCCTGCTCTTGTCACCCAGGCTGAAGTGCAGGACGCGATCGTAGCTCACTGCACTCTCAACCTCGCAGGGCTCAGGTCAACCTCCCAACTCAGCCTCCCGAGTAGCTGGGACTTCAGAAGCGTGCCACGCACACCCGGCTAATTTTTGTATTTTGTATCTAACTCCTGGGCTCAAGCGATCCGCCTGCCTCTGTCTCCCAAAATGCTTGGATTACAGGTGTGAGCCACCATGCCTGGGTGAATTTTTTTTTTTTTTGAGATGGAGTTTCACTCTTGTTGCCCAGGCTGGAGTGCAATGGTGCAATCTCGGCTCGCCACCACCTCCGCCTGCCGGGTTCAAGTGATTCTCCTGCCTCAGCCTCCTGAGTAGCTGGGATTAGAGGCATACGCCACCACGCCCAGCTAATTTTGTATTTTTAGTAGAGACAGGGTTTCCCCATGTTGGTCAGGCTGGTCTCAAACTCCCGACCTCAGGCGATCTGCCCACCTCAGCCTCCCAAAGTGCTGGGATTATAGGGGTGAGCCACCGTGCTGGCCGAATTTTTTTACATTAAGCATGTGTCAGTCGTAACTAGGAAAAACAAAATTATTTTTGTTTAAGAAAATAAAATAAAATGGCCACCTATGAGGAGCTGGGAGTACAGGCTTAGGTGGAAACAGATAAGGTGTCAAGACCTCCTTCTGTGACTGACGCCTTCAGATTTTCTCCCTAGAGTTTCAGTCATGCAAGATGAGGAGGTCTCAGAGCCTCCTGTGCGGTGTAGTGCCAGCAGGTAACAATACAGTATTGTGTGCTTACACATTTGCTGAGAAGATAGATCTTTTGTTAAGTGCTCTTATCATCACAAATTGATATGTGGCCATAAAAATAGTATCAAACAATAATAATATACAAATAGACGGGAGGAACCTGTGAGAGGTGGTGGATGGGTTTATGTCGTAAACTGTGGTGTTGACACACAGGGCATACTCATCTCCAAACTCATCAAGTCGTATATGTTAAATACATACTGCTTTTTATATGTCAATTATTCCTCGATAGAGTAAGGTTTTTTTTTTTTTGTAATTGCAAGTGTCTGCAGAGAGCTTCTATAGGTTTGGGGGTCCGGGAGACTCCCATAGGTGTGCCCCGTGAGCCTCAGCACCTAGGGTGTGTGTAGTGGCTATTCTGCCTTTATCTGTATTAAATTTTTTAAAAATTATTTTCCCAGGCATTCCACGACGCTCAACTTTTCACCCAAGTTCAAGTTCCTGTTTTTTTCTTCACAGAAGTCGATTGTGGGCGCCAGTTCCCACATTGCTCTCATCCTAAGTAGCAGCAACTTGCGGGCTGATGCCTGTGTCCAGCCCTAGAAGAGCCTCCGTACCTAGAAGAAAACCTCCCCTCCTGGGAGTCACGGCGCAAGGCTGGGCTCCCATCCTCGCAGGGAGGGGCGGATGCACCTGCCCCTGCAGATCTGCGCCCAGATCTGTGTTATCCACACCCACATCTGCGTCTGCAGGAAGAGGCTCCGCAGCAGGCAACAGCTTCCATCTGCGAGCCTCATTTAATCCCCACGAGGATCCTGTAGAGGGTTCCTATGTTCACCTCTGTTTTATATATAGACGAGGACGCTGGCTCTGGGAGGAGTAAAGCCGTGCAGCAGTAACTCCCGTGCAGCAGTAACTGCAGCCGTGCAGAGTAAACTCCCAGCACAGAACCCGGCCTCCCCGGTTCAGAAACAAAAGTGAGCTCCCTCCTCCCTGCTTGCGGGCGAAACTCTCGCTGCCTGTTGAACGTCTCCACCTGGATGCCACGGCTTCCCCAGACTCCCAGTGCCCCCGGGCAACGCCTTCCTCTCTCCCCACCTTTCCAAATTTTCTCTGCAGCAAGTTTCCCTCCTCCAAGTTTCTCCCCCTTCTCCAGCCTTCACGTTCAGTCCCGTGTCTCTGTGCCGTACAGGACTCAGCTGCCATAACAGCAGCTGGCGTCTCAGCGCCCCCGGAAGCTGAGACTTTCCAGGACAAGAACTGCTTTGGAGTCCTCTCGGGCCCCAGCACGACCTGCTACACTGCAAACTACTGCAAAGAACCTTTCAAGACTGGAGAGATGGAGCACCCCAAGTCTGTTTTACAGATGGAAAGGTGGTGGCTCAAAGACGAGATACCACAATAACAGTGGCTATGAAGCTCTCGCTTTGTCAAGATACAGTTCAAAGCACTGGGCATGCACTGACTCATCTCACGACCCCTAAAACACTCACGTTGGATACTATTGCTACTCCTCTTACCAACGCAGAAACAGCGTCACAGCAAAGTTAAGCAGCTTGCCCAAAGATCCTCCGCTAGGAAGGGAAGAAGGTGGCCTTTGAACTTGAGCTCCCCATCCACAGTCTGCAGTCCTTCAGACTGGAGCACATTGTAGAAATTAACAATGTCATCCCAACAACCCTTATAAAACACTTTTGGGCCGGGCGCGGTGGCTCACGCCTGTCATCCCAGCACTTCGGAAGGCCGAGGCAGGTGGATCACCTGAGGTGAGTTCGAGACCAGCCTTACCAACAAGGTGAAACCCTGTCCCTACTAAAAATACAAAAATTAGCCGGGCGTGGTGGCTGGCGCCTGTAGTCCCAGCTACTCGGGAGGCTAAGGCAGGAGAATTCCTTGAACCCGCGAGGTGGAGGTTGCAGTGAGCCGAGATCGTGCCACTGCACTCCAGCCTGGGCGATGGAGCGAGACTCCATCTCAAAAACAAAACAAAACAAAACAAAAAACACTTTTGAGTTCTGACTTTATTTCTTGCTGTTTTCTTATTTTTCATGGAACTCATCTTAATGATTTCACGTTTACCAATCACGTATATTTGGACGTGATTACAGGGCCACAGGGCAACCTCCAGAAGCATGATTCCTTTCCTAAGAATGAGGAAGGATGTGGTCAGTGTGTTCCTAAAATTATGATACTGCTTTGTAAGATAACATGTTTTGTTCGTTTTATTTCATCTTTTTATTTTGAAACAGAGTCTCACTCTGTCACCCAGCCTGGAGTGCAGTGGAGCAATCTCAATTCACTGCAGCCTCTGCCTCCTGGGCTCAAGCCATCCTCTCACCTTGGCCCCCCAAGTAGCTGGGACTATAGGCACACATCACCATACCCAGTTAATTTTTGTATTTTTTGTAGAGCTAGGGTTTCACCATGTTGCCCAGGCTGTTCTCAAACTCCCAAACTCAAGCAATCCACCCACCTTGGCTTCCCAAAGTGCTGGGATTACAGGCGTGAGCCACTGCACCTGGCCCAATTTTATTTCTTATTATTTTGCATGCCATTGTGAATGTATGAAGTGTTTCTCTCTTTATTTAGATCTTTAATTTCCCTCAGCAATCTTTTGTAGTTCTTAGTCTACACATCTTGCATTTCTTTATTAAATTGGTTTCTATTCATTTTATTATTTTTGAGGCTTTGTAAATAAAATTGCTCTCCTAATTTCATTATTGAATTATTTTTGTCAGTATATAGACATATGATTGATTTTAGTGAATATGTCTTCATCGTGCTAGGATTTTTGTTGTTGTTGCTGCTGTTGTTGTTATTGTTGAGACAGAGTTTCGCTCTTGTTGCCCAGGCTGGAGTGCAATGGCGCAATCTCGGCTCACTGCAACCTCCACCTCCCGAGTTCAAGCAATTCTCCTGCCTCAGCCTCCTGAGTAGCTGGGATTACAGGCATGCACCACCATGCCTGGCTAAGTTTTTGTATTTTTAGTAGAGACGGGGTTTCACCATGTTGGCCAGGCTGGTCTCAAACCCCTGACCTCAGGTGATCCACTCCCCTCAGTCTCCCAAAATGCTGGGATTACAGGCATGAGCCACCACATCCGGCTCTTGCTAGAAATTTATTGTACTTTTCAGCTTCATAATTTCCATTTAGTTTTATGCTTTAATAATATCCCAAGGTAACATTATGGTCACTTTCTGTAACTAATATTTCTTACTCTGTTGATTTATCAGGGGCTGAATTACTCTCCTTCAAGTTTCCTGTGCTAGCCTAATGGTTTGGATGTTGTTGTTCAATGCAATTCTCCTTTATTTTTGTTCCATTTATTTTTAGCAGCTTTGTTTAGCTATAATTGTTCTACTAAAAAACCTTCTCACAATGTACACAATCAGATGAATTTGGACACATGCAATAACCCCTTGGAAGACATTCACGTGCATGTGTTGTTGGTTTTTCCGCTTCTTACGGGAACTCCTTTCAGGCATTTCCATCTCCACGCTACACATGGGGAAATAGAGGCTCACAGAGGAGAAAGGACGTGGTTCAGGTCACACCTGTCCCTGGTCCTCCAGGCTGAGGAGCAGAGAGACCACCCACCTTAGTGCTGGAAGGGTTTAACACATAGCTTGGGCTCCCTCTTGTGGCCACAGTGGAGAAACTCCCTGCTTAGTTCATTTTTATTTTTTCCATCTGGCATTCATTTTTTTCATTCAGTAAGTATTTGTTGGTCCTGTCCTGTGTGCCAGACACTGTTTGAGGCTCTAGAGGTCCACCAATATAGAAAACAAACACCCTTTCCATGGAAGAGCTTATATTCTTGCAGAAGGAGAGGGGCAGTAACCCACAGGCATTATACAGTCACAGTCAGCTAGAAGGTGAGAGTGATTTGGATAAATGAGAAAGTGCAGCGGTGGTCCAGAGGGTCTGGAGGGTGCAAAGCTCAGCAGGGGGAATAGTGTGGCAGTTGCAGACAGAGGGGTAGGAAGAGGGAAGTGGCAGGAAGAGAATGCAGAGGGGTGAGGGTTGGGGCCACAGGTCCTGTGTAGAGCCCTGTTGGTCACCATGATCACCCTGAGTGAGCTGGGAAGTAACACAAATGACTCCAAATAGAAGCGCCTTCATGGAGCCTTCTTCTTCCCAGACTTCAACTAGAAACCTGAGCTGCCTGTCACAGCAGGGGACGTGTCATCCCATTAGACTTCAAACGTCCTCAGCAATTCCCTGCCCCCTTCTTTCTAGGAGTCAGGATTCCTCAGCCTTGCTCTAGAACTGCATCTGGTGACCCCTAGAAACCTGTCCTGGAAGCCTTACAAGGCTCTTCACACTCACAGTTTGTGATATGACCCCAGAGTTGTGCAGTGCACAACCTACACAGCTGGACACGATGGGCCTGGCACTCTTCCTCTGTGCTCCCACTGCACTCTGTGCTGACTATGTCATTCCACTGGGTGGTGCCATGTCAACTTCTCTCCTCTCCTCTCAATATCCTGTAAGGATAAGATAGGATCAAAGTTCTACCCACGTCCCTGGTACTCAGAAGAGGAGCTGAAACATTGGCGACCACTCATTAGCACTCTACTTAACAAAACAAATTGCCCAGGTAGTTATGATTAGATTTCTATAAAAGGCTGAATAATTACAGAAAGGCTCTAGAAACTAGTGTATAATTATGTACAGGCGCTGGCAGTGTGTAGAGTCATGGAAATCAGCTAAGGAATCGCGGTGCAGTCTCAGGAACCAGCTGGATAATTGCACCAGGAGCTCCCAAAACCAGCTGGATAATTATAGTGGAGTCCCTGGAACTCAGCGGGTAATTACCATGTACTCATGGAATCAGCAGTAATAATAGAAGGGTCCCAAATGCAGACACTAGGGAAAGTCTGGAGACACTTTTGATTGTCACAACCCAGAGGAGAGGGGGATGCTTCTGGGTGGTGGGGGGTGGAGGCGGGGGATGCACAGGACAGCTCCTCCCCCAAGGAATAACCTAGCCCCGAAAGTCAACAGTGTTACCCAGAAAAAAACAGGGTTCCTTTGCCTGGTGAGGAGCAAACAACTCTCCCGAGAATGCAGGTGATGTGGTTTGGCTCTGTGTCCCCACCCAAATCTCACCTGGTATTGTAATGATCCCCACGTGTCGATGGGGGGCAGTGACTCACTCCTGTAATCCAAGCACTTTGGGAGGTTGAGGCAGGCAGATCATGAGGTCAGGAGATCGAGACCATCCTGGATAACACAGTGAAACCCGTCTCTACTAAAAATACAAAAAATTAGCCGAGCGTGGTGGTGGGCAGCTGTAGTCCCAGCTACTCGGGAGGCTGAGGCAGGAGAATTACTTGAACCTGGGAGGTGGAGGTTGCAGTGAGCTGAGATCACGCCGTTGCACTCCAGCCTGGGTGACAGAGCGAGACTCCGTCTCAAAATAATAATAATAATAATCCCCACGTGTCATGGGAGGGACCTGTGGGAGGCGACTGAATCACGGGAGCAGGTTTTTCCCATTCTGTTCTCGTGATAGTGAATAAGTCTCACGAGATCTGATGGTTTTATAAATGGGAGCGCCCCTGCACGCTCTTTCTTGCCTGCTGCCATGTAAGACGTGACTTTGCTCCTCCTTCATCTTCCGCCATGATTGTTAGCCCTCCCCAGCCAAGTGGAACTATGAGCCCATTAAACTTCTTTCCTTTGTAAATGAACCAGTCTCGGGTATGTCTTTATTAGCAGCATGAGAACAAACTAATACAGAGGTTTTGATCAAGAAGAGTTTTATGACTTGACACAGCTAAGGAAGGCACTGGGTGTATTCTTCAAAGCAGTGTCTCCCTGAGGAAAAGGGACAGGAGGGCTCTATGGGGTGAGGGAGCAGGGAGAGGGCGCGTCGTTGTATGTGGAGGAGGGTCCCAGTCACGCAGATGCAGCGAGTCGTCATACCAGCACACGGGTCGCATGTTACGGTAACGAGACTACAGCTCCTCCCGGCATGGAGACTTGAGCGCAGCAGTGCAGAAAGTTCACTCGGGTTCATCTCTAAGTTGCCAGGGCCCGTCAGAGGCTGGTTCCAACCAATGAGTGGCCGCATTCCACACAGGGTTTGGAGAAAAACAGGCTGCAGGGCAGAAGGCTGTGAAACAGGCTGATTGCTCAAGTTGATTAAATTCCTATAATCCCTGGAGACCCTCCCTGTCTCCATACAGTAGTGCTTGGGTTGAGAAATTTTCTTTAAAAGACTATTTTTAGCCGGGCGCGGTGGCTCACGCCTGTAATCCCAGCACTTTGGGAGGCCGAGGCGGATGGATCACGAGGTCAGGAGATCGAGACCATCCTGGCTAACACGGGGAGACCCCGTCTCTACTAAAAACACACAGAAAAATTAGCCGGGCGTGGTAGCGGGCGCCTGCAGTCCCAGCTACTGGGGAGGCTGAGGCAGGAGAATGGTGTGAACCCGGGAGGTGGAGCTTGCAGTGAGCTGAGATCGCGCCACTGCACCCCAGCCTGGGCGACAGAGCGAGACTCCGTCTCAAAAAAAATAAAATAAAATAAGAATAAGAAGAAGAAAGAAGAAAGAAGAAGAAGAGGAAGAGGAAGAGGAAGAAGAGGAAGAGGAGGAAGAGGAAGAAAAATGTTTTAAAAAGACTATTTTTAGAGCAGGTTCAGGTTCATAGTAAAATGAGGGGAAGGTAGAGATTTTCCATGTACTCCCTACGCCGACACCTACATAGCTTCCCCCATTACCAGCGTTCCCTACCAGAGCGGTATTTTTATTACAACTGATGAGCCTGCATTGACACATTGTAATCACCCAAAGTCATATTAGGGCTCGCTCAGTCTTCCTGTTGCACATCCTATGAGTTCAGGCAAATGTCTAATGGCAGGCACCCACCGTCACAGTGTTAGACAGAGGAGAGCCATTGCCCTAAAATTCCTCTGTGCACCACCTATTCATCCTTCCTTCGCCCAACCCCTGGCAGCCCTGATCTTTTCCTGTCTCCATACTTTGCCTTTTCCAGAATGTCATATTGTTGGAATCAGACAATGCGTAGCCTTTTCAGATGGGATTCTACCACTTGGTAATATGCATTTAAGGTTCCTCTGTGTCTTTTCATGGCTTGAGAGCTCATTTCTATCTATTTATTTATTTATTTATTTACTTATTTACTTATTTATTTATTTTTGAGATAGAGTCTCGCTCTGCTGCCCAGGCTGGAGTGCGGTGGCTGTGATCTCGGCTCACTGCAAGCTCCGTCTCCCAGGTTCAAGCGATTCTCCTGCCTCAGCCTCCCGAGCAGCTGGGATTATAGGCACCTGCCCCCACGCCCGGCTAATTTTTGTATTTTTAGTAGATGGGGTTTCACCATGTTGGTCAGGCTGGTCTCGAACTCCTGACTTTAGATGATCCACCCGCCTCGATCTCCCAAAGTGCTGGGATTATAGGCGTGAGCCACCATGCCTGGCATCATTTCTTTTTCTTTTCTTTTCTTTTCTTTTTTTTTTTTTTTTGTTGTTGTTGTTGTTGTTGTTGTTGTTGTTGTTGTTGAGGCAAAGTTTCACTCTTGTCGCCCAGGCTGGAGTGCAGTGGCACGATCTCAGCTCCCTGCAACTTCCGCCTCCCGGTTTCAAGTGATTTTCCTGCCTCAGCCTCCCAAGTAGCTGGGATTACAGGCGCCTGCCACCACGCCTGGTTAATTTTTGTATTTTTAGTAGAGATGGGTTTCCCCATGTTGGCCAGGCTGGTCTTGAACTCCTGACCCTGTGATCTGTGGGCCTTGGCCTCCCAAAGTGCTGGGATTACAGATGTGAGCCACCGTGACTGGCTAATTTTTGTGTTTTTAGTAGAGATGGGGTTTCGCCATGTTGCCTAGGCTGGTCTCGAACTCCTGACCTTGTGATCCGCCCGCTTCGGCCTCCCAAAGTGCTGGGATTACAGGCATGAGCCACTAGAGTCTCTTTGTGAAAAGGAATGGAAGGATGTGGTGTGATGCAGCACGCATCACCAGGTCCCTGTCATAAATTTGCTTTTGTGGCCGGGCGCGGTGGCTCACGCCTGTAATCCCAGCACTTTGGGAGGCTGAGGCTGGTGGATCACCAGGTCAGGAGATCAAGACCATCCTGACTAACATGGTGAAACCCCGTCTCTACTAAAAAATACAAAAAATTAGCCGGGCGTGGTGGCGGGCGCTTGTAGTCCCAGCTACTCGGGAGGCTGAGGCAGGAGAATGGCGTGAACCCAGGAGGAGGAGCTTGCAGTGAGCCGAGATGGCACCACTGCACTCCAGCCTGGGTGACAGAGCGAGACTCCGTCTCAAAAAAATAAATAAATAAATAAATTTGCTTTCTTTGCTACCATTTTTCGGCCTGGGATAAGTTGTTTCAAATCCAGTTGTACTCCCATCACTCAGTTAAAACTTACCCTCTGGCTGGGTGCGGTGGCTCACACCTGTAATCCCAGCACTTTGGGAGGCTGAGGCAGGCGGATCCCCTGAGGTCAGGAGATCGAGACCAGCCTAGCCAACATGGCGAAACCCCATCTCTACTAAAAATACAAAAAATTAGCCAGGCATGGTGGCAGGCACCTGTAGTCCCAGCCACTCGGGAGGCTGAGGCAGGAGAGTAGTTTGAACCCGGGAGGCGGAACTTGCAGTGAGCCGAGATTGCTGCACTCCAGCCTGAGCGACAGAGCGAGACTCTGTCTCAAAACAAAACAAAAAAAGCTTACCCTCCATGATGCAGCAATCCCACTACTGGGTATATGCTCAAAGAAACTGAAACCAGTGTGTGGAAGAGATGTCTGCACCCCTATGTGTATTGCAGAGTTATTCACAATAGCCAACATATGGAATCACCTAAGTCTCCATCAGTGGACAATGGGTAAAGGAAATGTATATATACACAGTGGAAATACTATCCAGCCTTAGAAAGGAAGGAAACCCTGTCATTTACAGTATGGATGTAATTGTCAACCTTCAGGACATCATGCCACATGAAATAAGCCAGATACAGAAAGACAAATATCGCACAACCTCACTTATACATGGAATATTAAAAAGTTGAACTCAGGCCTTCGAGACTAGCCATGGCCAACATGGCAAAACCTACTCGGGAGGCTGGGCACGGTGGCTCACGCCTGTCAGCACTTTGGGAGACCAAGGCGGGCAGATCACCTGAGGTTGGGAGTTCGAGACCAGCCTGACCAATATGGAGAAACCCCGTCTCTACTAAAAATTCAAAATTAGCCGGGCGTGGTGGTGCATGCCTGTAATCCCAGCTACTCGGGAGGCTGAGGCAGGAGAATGGCTTGAACCTGGGAGGCGGAGGTTGCAGTGAGCCGAGATTGCGCCACTGCACTCCAGCCTGGGCGACAGAGTGAGACTCTGTCTCAAAAAAAAGTTGAACTCACAGAAGCAGAGAGTGGAATGGTGGTGACCAGGGGCTTGGGAAGGGGAGTAGGGATTGGGAAGATCGTGGTCAGAGGGTACACAATTTTAGATAGAAAAAAATAAATTCAAGAGATCTGTTGTGCAACATGGTGACAAATTAGTGAAAATGTATTATGTACTTAAACATTGTTAGCAGAATAGATCGTAAGGGCTCTCGCCACACACGCAAAAATGACAACTATGTGGCCACGAACGGTGGCTCACACCTATAATCCAAGCACTTTGGGAGGCTGAGGCAAGTGGATCACTTGAGGTCAGCAGTTTGAGACCAGCCTGGGCAACATGGCCAAACCCAATCTCTACAAAAAATACAAAAATTAGCCAGACGTGGTGGCACACACCTGTAATCCCAGCTACTCGGGAGGCTGAGGCACAAGAATCACTTGACGTGGGAGGTGGAGTTTGCCGTGAGCTGAGATGGCACCACTGCACTCTAGGCTGAGTGACAGAATGAGACTCTGTCTCAGAAAAAAAAGTGAGGTGATGGATATGTTAAACATCTTGATTATGGTAATTATTTCACAATGTGTACATATGTCAAAACATCATGTTGTACACCTTAAATATATACACTTCTCTTTTTGAGACGGAGTCTCGCTCTGTCGCCCAGGCTGGAGTGCAGTGGCGCAATCTCGGCTCACTGCAATCTCCGCCTCCCGGCTTCACACCATTCTCCTGCCTCAGCCTCCCGAGTAGCTGGGACTACAGGCGCCCGGCTAATTTTTGTATTTTTTTTTTTAGTAGAGACGGGGTTTCACCGTGTTAGCCAGGATGGTCTCGATCTCCTGACCTTGTGATCCACCCGCCTCGGCCTCCCAAAATGCTGGGATTACAGGCATGAGCCACCGCGCCTGACCAAATATATATGCTTTTATTTGTCAATCATATCTCAATTAAGCCAGGAAAAAATTGGTAAGGCTACTTTTGGAAACACTTTGACACTATTTCAAAAAATTGAAACTAACAATCCCTATAGCGCAATCATTCCATTCTTATATGTATACTCTTTAAAAATTCTTGCACATATGCACCAAGAAACATGTAAAAAATGTCTGTTACGTAATAGGGAAAGTAAAATAAATAGAAATAGAAAAGTAACTAAAATAAAAGAAGCCCATGTGTCCATCAACAGGTACAAAAATACAAAAACTGTGATATAGACCTATATTGGAAAGCTTCAAACTATGGCATTGAAAATGATTTCACGAATCATTTCAAAAAAAAATTCATGGTTTCTGTTGTCATTTTTACCAAGTTCATTCCAATATGTGGTTTAGAGACACTATTTTAAACAAATAAGGGGCCAGGTGCAGTGCCTCACGCCTATAATCCCAGCACTTTGGGAGGCTGAGGCGGGCAGATCACCTGAGGTCAGGAGTTTGAGACCAGCCTGGACAACATGGTGAAACCCCGTCTCTACTGAAAATACAAGAATTAGCCAGGCATGGTGGTGCGCGCCTGTAATCCCAGCTCTTCGGGAGGCTGAGGCAGGAGAATTACTTGAACCTGGGAGGCAGAGTTTGCAGTGAGCCGAGATCATTCCACCGCACTCCAGCCTGGGCAACAGTGTGAGACTCTGTCTCAGAACTTAAAGTAGAATAAAATAAAATAATAAAATAAAACAAATAAGGGAACGACAAGCACAGTTACTTCTGCAGAGGAGGAAAGTGGAGGATGAGAATGGAAGGAGATTCCAGGTAGATGAGGTGGTCGGGATGAGATTGTAGCTCTTAATTGGATGGTGGGCTAAGTGAGGCCGTTTCGTTAATGTTTCATGATTCAAGCTGTTTTATAAATTCTCTTTTATTTATGAAAAATACATAATACATGTTTGGTAAAGTGATCAAACTTTCTTGATCAAGATATCAAAAGAAAGACCCAAGATTTTATTTTCTATTTCTTTCTTTTTCTTTTTTTGAGACGGAGTCTCACCCTGTCACCCAGGCTGGAGTGCAGTGGCTCGATCTCAGCTCACTGTAAGCTCCACCTCCCGGGTTCACGCCATTCTCCTGCCTCAGCCTCCTGAGTAGCTGGGACTACAGGCACCCGCCACCACGCCTGGCTAATTTTTTGTATTTTTAGTAGAGATGGGGTTTCACTGTGGTGTCAATCTCCTAACCTCCTGATCCACCCGCCTCGGCCTCCCAAAGTGCTGAGATTACAGGCGTGAGCCACTGCACCCGGCCTCTCTTTATTTCTATATGTATCAGTTAGCTATTGCTGTGTAACAAATCACCTCAAAGGGAGCAGCTTCAGACAACACACGTTTATTGTCTTGCGATTTCCGTGAATCAGGGATCTGAGCACAGCCCGGCCGGGTCTTCAGCTTCAGGGTCTCTCCCGGGCTGCAATCAAGGGGCCAGCAGCTTTGTGGCCATCTCAAGGTTCTGTTGATTTCATGGTGTTGCTGGCAGTTCAGTTCTTTGCTGACTCTTGGCCAGAAGCCACCCCTCAGTTCCTTGCCATGAAAGTTTTCTGCAACAGGATAGCTTTGTTTCATCAAAGTATGCAAACTAAGCAGGCAAAAAGAGTCTGCTAACAGAATGCAAGTCACACAATCATCCTTAAAAGGACGGGATTACATGATGCTATAAATACCAGGAGGTGAGGATTATTGGGGACCATCTGGGAGGCTGCCTACCACACCGCACAAGGCAAACCTTATGAATATGTATGGATTATATAGGTTGCTTTCAGGCTTCCACCAGAAATAGGATTGCCTTACAGCTCTACCAGCCTAGGACCCACCCCAGCAGGTGTGGCTTGCTTGTTTTAAGGGAGCAGAGACAGAGGGTTCCTTATATCCCACAGCCAAGCCCTTACAGGCACAGCAGGGCAGCTGCTTAAGGTGGAGAGGGAGTCTAACCGGTTTTCTTACCATGCTTAGGGCAGAAAACATAATCTCTATTTTGCCATGTAAGACTCACCACTGAGCAGTCCCTCTCTTTCCTCTGTATTACACTGACACTTCACATAAACCTCTAAACCTCATATAACCTCTAAGCAGAGATAGGCTTCATAAAGGAATTTAGCCAGAATGCCACATTATTTTTCCTTGTTGCAGAGAGTAGCATCTATCTTATGGGAAGAGTCATAGAAAGGCCCTGCAGAATTTGCTGTAAGAAAATAGTCAGGCCGGGCCAGGCGCCGTGGCTCACGCCTGTAATCCCAGCACTTTGGGAGGCCGAGGCAGGTGGATCACGAGGTCAGGAGATCGAGACCATCCTGGCCAACATGGTGAAACCCCATCTCTACTAAAAACACAAAAAATTAGCCGGGTGTGTTGGCGGTTGCCTGTAGTCTCAGCTACTCAGGAGGCTGAGGCAGGAGAATGGCGTGAACTCGGGAGGTGGAGCTTGCAGTGAGCGGAGATCACACCACTGCGCTCCAGCCTGGGCCACAGAGCGAGACTCCATCTCAAAAAAACAACAAAAAAAAAAAAGAAAAGAAAATGGTCAGGCCGGGCGTGGTGGCTCATGCCTATAATCCCAGCACTTTAGGAGGCTGAGGCAGGTAGATCATGACGTCAGGAGTTCGAGACCAGCCTGGCCAACATGGTGAAACCCCGTCTCTACTAAAAATACAAAAAAAAATTAGCCAGGCGTGGGGTCAGGCGCCTGTAATCCCAGCTACTTGGGAGGCTCAGGCAGGAGAATAGCTAAAACCTGAGAGGTGGAGATTGCAGTGAGCCGAGACCGCACCACTGTACTCCAGCCTGAACAACAGAGGGAGACCCCATTTCAAAAAAAAAAAAAAAAGGCCGGGTGCGGTGGCTCACGCCTGTAATCCTAGCACTTTGGGAGGCCAAGGCGGGCGGATCACCTGAGGTCGGGAGTTCGAGACCAGCCTGACCAACACGGAGAAACCCCGTCTCTACTAAAAAATACAAAATTAGCTAGGCGTGGTGGCGCATGCCTGTAATCCCAGCTACTCGGGAGGCTGAGGCAGGAGAATCGCTTGAACCCGGGAGGCAGAGGCTGCAGTGAGCTGAGGTCGAGCCACTGCATTCCAGCCTGGGCGACAGAGCAAAACTCCATCTCAAAAAAAAAAAAAAAAAAAAAGGCTGGGCGCGGTGACTCACGTCTGTAATCCTAGCACTTTCGGAGGCCGAGGTTGGTGGATCATGAGGTCAGGAGATCAAGACCATCCTGGCCAACATGATGCAAACCCATCTCTACTAAAAATACAAAAATTAACTGGGTGTGGTGGCGCATGCCTGTAATCCCAGCTACTTGGGAGGCTGAGGCAGGAGAATCACTTGAACCAGGGAGTCAGAGGTTGCAGTGACGGGAGATCTCACCACTGCACTCCAGCCTGGGCAACACAGCCAGACTCCATCTCTTTAAAAAAAAAAAAAGGCCCACATTGGGCCGTGTGATGGGGGATCCCACTCTCCACCTCAAAGGATAGAATGGATTCCACCTTTCCCTCCACAGAGGAAGGCAGAACCAGACTTCCCACTAAGACTCAGACTGACAGGGACCTCTTTCCAAGTAGCAAAAAGGTTCATACACGGAAAGCGGAAAATGACAAATTATGACTTGCCACGGTGCATAGCAGCCAAGGTGGTTCCCAAAATAAAACCTCTTCCCACACACTTTGTGCCAGGTGCCCCACGTCTTTTTTTTTTTTTTTTTGTAATTAAAGGAGATCGACAAATCTGGGGTGAGAAGGTTGGTAGAGGATGAGTTTTTCCTTCAACATCTTATTATAAAAATTTTTCAAGCATAGAGAAGAGTTGAAAGAATCTTAGAATGAATACCCCATCCACACCACCCAGACACCCAGACTCAACCATTCACAACTTTTTTTCTTTTTCGAGACAGAGTCCTGCTCTGTCGCCCAGGCTAGAGTGCAGTGGCATGATCTTGACTCACTGCAACCTCTGCCTCCCAGGTTCAAGCGATTCTCCTGCCTCAGCCTCCCACATAGCTGGGATTGCAGGTGTCTGCCACCATGCCCAGCTAAATTTTTTTTTTTATTTTTAGTAGAAACGGGGTTTCACGATGTTGGCCAGGCTAGTTTCGAACTCCTGACCTCAAGTGATCTGCCCGCCTCGGCCTCCCAAAGTGCTGGGATTCCAGGCATGAGCCAACATGCCCAGCTAATTTTTGTATTTTTAGTAGAAACAGGGTTTCATTATGTTGACCAGGCTGGTCTTGAACTCTTGACCTATTGATCTGCCCGCCTCAGCCTCCCAAAGTGCTGGGATTTTCAGGTGTGAGCCACCACACCCGGCTGTTGCACACATCTTAAGTACACCATTAACTGTGTGGGTTTTTTTGTTTGTTTTATTTATTTATTATTTATTTATTTATTGAGCCGGAGTCTCGCTCTGTCACCAGGCTGGAGTGCAGTGGCACGATCTTGGCTCAAGCGATTCTCGGGTTCAAGCAATTCTCCTGCCTCAGTCTCCCAAGCAGTTGGGACTACAGGTGCCTGTCACCACGCCTGGCTAATTTTTGTATTTTTAGTAGAGACAGGGTTCCACCATGTTGGCCAAAATTGTCTCGATCTCTTGACCTCGTGATCCTCCTGCCTCGGCCTCCCAAAGTACTGGGATTACAGGCGTGAGCCACCGTTCCCGGCCTAAGCGTGTTTTAAAATTATATACTGAAGCCCCTATGGAGACATAGAATATGGCCATTGTCACAGCAAGCTCCCAAATGCACCTGCCCAGTCACATCTTGCCTTTACTCCCCTGGAGGCTACCACTCTTCTGATATTATTATTTTTTCACTATAGACTAATTTCAACTGTTCTGGGACTTCACGCAAGCACAATCATAAACTCTCAGAAAACTGAACTCTCCTCTCTGGCTTCTTCCACTCAGCTCAAAGTTTCTGAGATTCACCCGTGCTGCTGTGTGTGTCCACAGTCCGTTCATTTTCACTGCGGGGCAGGATTGCATTGTACGGGGCTCCGTGGTTTATTTATCCTTTCTTCCACTGATGAACACCTGGCTGTTTCCAGTCTTGGGGGCTCTTGTGAACAAAGCTACTGTTAACATTTCTATTTATTTATTTATTTTTGAGACAAAGTCTTGCTCTCTCACCCAGGCTGGAGTGCAGTGGCGCGATCTTGGCTCGCTGCAACCTCCGCCTCATGGTGCAAGCGATTCTCTGCCTCAGCCTCCCGAGTAGCTGGGATTACAGGCATTTGCCACTGCACCTGGCTAATTTTTTTTTTTTTTTTTGTATTTTAGTAGAGACGGGGTTTCACCATGTTGGCCAGGCTGGTCTCCAACTCCTGACCTCAGGTGATCCACCCATCTCAGCCTCCCAAAGTGCTGGGATTACAGGCGTGAGCCACCGCGCCCGGCCAACAAGTCTTTCAATCACACCTTTCATGTGCAAACCAAACAGTCCAGAGCCCAGCCCCCAGCCACCTCCATTTCTGAGCTCTCACACTCAGGGCTGCTGTGCACCTGCCTTCATCACCCAGGGCCAGGAACCAGACCACTAGAGTAGGCCCAATGCCCCAGGCCCTGCTGAAATTATTCAAATTAGCTAATCACAAACCTGTTTACCCTGCCCCACCCACTCATTCCTGCAAAAACCAAATCAAGCTCTTGCCCTCTCTCCGCCCTCACTCCCTCTGCCTCTGATCCCTCGTGCTCTCCCGTGTGACCTGCATGCTCCCTCGGCCCTGGTGCTCTCTGGGTGTCCTGCCTGGCCTGGCATGTCCCTTCCTCTTGAGAACTGTGACAAACTGTCTTCTCAGTGGTCCATCTCATCTGCTGGGCCCCCCATACCTATGTATGAAAACAACTTGAAGCCGGGCGCGGTGGCTTACGCCTGTAATCCCAGCACTTTGGGAGGCTGAGGCAGGTGGATCATGAGGTTAGTGTCACGCGAGTCCGTGTGAAGAGTCCACCAAACAGGCTTTGTGTGAGCAACAAGGCTGTTTATTTCACCTGGGTGCAGGCGGGCTGAGTCCGAAAACAGAGTCAGTAAAGGGTGGTGGGATTATCATTAGTTCTTACAGGTTTGGGGACAGGCGGTGGAGTTAGGAGCAATGTTTTGCGGGCAGGGGGTGGATCTCACAAAGCACATTCTCAAGGGTGGGGAAAATTACAAAGAACCTTCTTAAGGGTGGGAGAGATTACAAAGAACCTTCTTAAGGGTGGGGAAGATTACAAAGTACATTGATCAGTCAGGGTGGGGCAGGAACAAATCACAATGGTGGAATATCATCAGTTAAGGCTATTTTCCCTTCTTTTGTGGATCTTCGGTTGCTTCAGGCCATCTGGATGTATAGATGCAGGTCACAGGGGATAGGATGGCTTAGCTTGGGCTTAGAGGCCTGACAGTTCAAGAGCAGCCTGGCCAAGATGGTGAAACCCCATTTCTACTAAAAATACAAAGAATTAGCCAGGTGTGGTGGCATGCACCTATAGTCCCAGCTACTCAGGAGGCTGAGGCAGGAGAATTGCTTGAACCCGGGAGGCGGAGGTTGCAGTGAGCCGAGATCGGACCATTGCACTCCAGCCTGGGCGACAGAGCGAGACTCTGTCTCAAAAAAAAAAAAAAAGAAAGAAAGAAAGAAAAGAAAAGAAAAAAGAAATACATTGGGTTTGGAAGGCCGAGGAGGGCGGATCACAAGGTCAGGAGTTCAAAACCAGCCTGATCAACATGGTGAAACCCTGTCTATACTGAAAATACAAAAATTAGCCAGGCGTGGTAGCGCATGCCTGCAGTCCCAGCTACTCAGGAGGCTGAGGCAGGAGAATCGCTTGAACCCGGGAGGCGGAGGTTGCAGTAAGCCAAGATCATGCCATTGCACTCCAGCCTGGGCTACAGAGTGATACTCTGTCTCAAAAAAAAAAAAAGAAAGAAATACATTGGCGTGGTTCAGAAAGGTGGAACAACACAAAGGGTGGGGTGAGGCGTGCAATTTAAACATTTTCTGATTGACAATTGGTTGAGTTTTCTCTGAAGACCCGGAATCAATAGAAAGGAAATGTTCAGGTTAAGCTAAAGGATCGTGGAGACCAGGTTTTATTGTGCAGAGGAAGCTGACTTCAGAGAGAGAGGGCAGGGTGTAAAATGCTTCTTACAGGACCTAAAAGAGTGCCTGGGCCGGCCACGGTGGCTCACACCTGTAATCCCAGCAACTTTGGGAGGTCGAGGCAGGCGGATCACCTGAGGTCGGGAGTTCAAAGCCAGCCTGACCAACATGGAGAAACCCTGTCTCTACTAAAAAATACAAAATTAGCTGGGCGTGGTGGTGCATGCCTGTAATCTCAGCTAGTTGGGAGGCTGAGGCAGGAGAATTGCTTGAACCTGGGAGGTGGAGGTTGCGGTAAGCCGAGATTGTGCCGTTGCACTCCAGCCTGGGCAAAAAGAGTGAAACTCTGTCTCAAAAAAAAAAAAGAGTGCCTGGCTCTCCTGGGCCTGGAAAGGAAGAAGGGAAAACAAAGGAGAAACGGGGTTCTGTAAAGAATGTGGATTTTTCCCACAAGAGACTTTGCAGGGCAATTTCAAAATATGGCAGAGAAACATGTTTTGGGGTAAAATATTTTTATTTTCTTCCTTGTGTTGTAATGCTATGCCAGAGTCAGATTGGAAAGTAAGTCACACCATAGAGGATTAAATACAACCCATCTGATGAGAATTTATGGTTTGTAAGGCATGACTCCTCAAACGCCTTAGGTAGGAATTTGGGCAAGATAAAAAAATCAGAGCTTAGTTCTCAGGGGTCATGGCGGGACAACAGGAGAGAGCGTCTCACCCATATTTAAAAAAAAAAAAAGTGCAATGCAGGCTGGGCATGGTGCCTCACGCCTGTAATCCCAGCACTTTGGGAGGCCGAGGAGGGTGGATCACCTCAGGTCAGGAGTTCAAGATCAGCGTGGCCAACTTGACAAAACCCCTTCTCTACTAAAAATACAAAAATTACCTGGGTGTGATGGCATGCACCTGTAGTCCCAGCTACTCGGGAGGCCGAGGCAGGAGAATTGCTTGAACCCAGGAGGCGGAGGTTGCAGTGAGCTGAGATGGTGCCACTGCACTCCAGCCAGGGTGACAAGAGTGAAAACTCTGCCTCAAAAAAAAAAAAAAGAATATTACAGTGAAAACCTAGATAGTTATCACCTGGATTCTAGTCTACTGTTAATCTTTTCTCCTTCCTTCCTTCCTTCCTTCCTTCCTTCCTTCCTTCTCTCTCTCTTTTTCCTTCCCTTTCTTTCTTTCCTTCCTTTCTCTCTGTTTCTTTCCTTTCTCTCCCTTCTCTTTTTCTCTTTCTTTCTTTCTTTTCTCTCCCTCTTTCTTTCTTTCCTTTCCTTTCCCTTCCCTTCCCTTCCCTTCCACTCACTCACTCCCTCCCTCTCTCTCTTTTCTTTCTTTCTTTCTTTCTTTCTTTCTCTCTCTTTCTCCCTTCCTTCCTTCCTTCCTTCCTTTCTTTCTTTCTTTCTTTCTTTCTTTCTTTCTTTCTTTCTTTCTTTCAGACAGGGTCTCGCTATGTTGTCCCGGCTACAGTGTAGTGGTTATTCACAGGTGCAATCATACCCACAGAGCAGCCTTGAACTTCTAGGCTCCAGTGATCCTCCTGCACCAGCCTCCTGAGTTGCTGGGAGCACAGACTCATGCCACTGTACCTTGCTTAATATTTATCTTCCTTTGCCTTATTACTTATCCCTCCATCCATCCGTCTTATTTTCTTTTGTGATTAACTTCAAAAAGAGACTGCAGACACCACTACACTTTCTCCCAATACTAAGCATGCACCTCATTAACATTTTTCAGTAAAATTTTTATAGAGTGGAGTGCACAAATCTTTTTTTTTTTTTTTTGAGATGGAGTTTCACTCTTTCTCCCAGGCTAGAGTGCAGTGGTGTGATAGCTCACTACAACTTCCACCTCCTGGGTTCAAGCGATTTTCCTGCCTCAGCCTCCCGAGTAGCTGGGATTACAGGCATGCACCACCACAGCTGGCTAATTTTTGTATGTTTAGTAGAGACGGGGTTTCGTCATGTTGGCCAGGCTGGTCTGGAACTCCTGACCTCAGGCGATCCACCTGCCTCGGCCTCCCAAAGTGCTGGGATTACAGGTGTGAGCCGCCGCACCTGGCCAGAAATTCACAAATCTTAAGTGAGCGACAAATGCAGACACTGGTACAAAACGAACCCTCATCAAGATACAGAACGAGGCCCTTTATCCCAGGAAGTTCCCCCAGCCCCCTTCCCAGTCACCCTGACCCTACTCACCCAGAGGCAACCACTGTTTTTATTATTTTTGCTACCATATGTTAATTCTGTCTGTTTGGAAAATCATCTAACTGAACTCATACAGTGCATCCTCCTTTGTTTCTGACACTCAGCACAATAATTTTGAGACCGACCCATATTGCTGCATGCATTATTAGCTTGTGCCTTTTCATTGCTAAGTAGTATTCCATTCTGTGGCTATATTACCTATCTTGGTCCATTCCCCTGTTGATAGGCATACAGGATGTTTCTAGCCTGAGGCTATTATGAATAAAGCTGCTGTAAACAGTCTTGCAAAATTCTTGGTGTGGATAAATATTTTCTTTTCTTTTGGGTAAAAGTAGAATTGTTGGCCGGGCGTGGTGGCTCACGCCTGTAATCCCAGCAGTTTGGGAGGCCGAGGTGGGCAGATCACGTGAGGTCAGGAGTTTGAGACCAGCCTGGCCAACATGGTGAAACCCCATCTCTACTAAAAATACAAAAATTAGCCAGGCATGGTGGTGTACACCTGTAGTCCCAGCTACTCGGGAGGCTGAGGCAGAATAATCACTTAAACCTGGGAGGCAGAGGTTGCAGTGAGCTGAGATCATGCCATTGCACTCCAGCTTGGTGACACAGTGAGACTCCGTCTAAAAAACAAACAAACAAAAAAGAGTAGAATTGTTGGGTCATGGGATAGGTGTGGGCTTAGATTTGTAAGAAGCTGCCAGGCCTTTTCCTACAGGGTTTGTACCCTTTACTCTCTCATCAATAATGGATAACACTCGGGTGCTTCATTCCTGGAATCTTTGGATCTCAGGCCTGCTTTGGGCTGTTGGTATTTCACTGTGGTTGAATGCAGCTCTATTAGTCAGATTTGTCCAAAGAAAGAAAACCAAAGAGATATATAAAGAGATACCAGCAGAGGTTTATTATGAGAACTTTTCTTACACAATTCTGGAGGCTGAGGAGTCCCACGACGTGCTGTCCATAAGCTGAAGAAGCAGGAAAGCTGGTGGTGTCATTCAGTCTGAGGCTAAAGGCATGAGGACCAGGAAGTTTGATGTCCTAGGGCAAGAGAAAATGGATGCGCCAGTTAAGAAAACACAGTGAATTCGCCCTTCCTCTGCTTTTTGTTCTATTCGAGCCTCCAGCAGATTGGATGAGGCCCGCCCACATTGGTGAGGGAGAACTTCTTTACTCAGTCTACTGATTCAAATGCTCACCTCTTCCAGAAACACCCCCACAGACACATCCAGAAATAATGTCTTACCAGCTATCTGGGCATCCCTTAGGCCAGTCAAGTTGACGCATAAAGTTAACCATGACATCAGCTTATTTAATAAACTGGCTATATCTGCATATTTGCTCATTTGCCTAATGAGTTATCTCTATCATGCTCTGTGAAAGCAGAGATTTTCATCCCTTTAGTTCACTGCTGAATTCCCAGGGCCTAGAACAATGCCTGGCACCTAGTAGCTGTCCAATAAATAAATACTTGGGGAATGAACAAACCAATGAATGTATGGATTCTTCTTTATTATTAATAGATCCCAGGGCTTACTTAACACAGCCTGGCAGCTATTAAACATGTAATCGAAAGAAAGGAGGGGAAAAGGAAGGAAGAAGGAAGGTAGCAATGAAGGAAGAAGGAAGGAGGGAAGAAAGGAAGGGAGAGAGAGAGGAAGGAAAGAAGGAAGAAAGGGAGGGAGGAAGGAGGGGAGGGAGGGAGGAAAGGAAGGAAGGAAGGTAAAAAGGAAGAGAGGGAGGAAGGAGGAAGGAAGGAGAAAGGAAGAGAGGGAGGCAGGGAGGGAGGGAGGGAGGAAGGAAGGGGGGAGGGAGGGAGGGAGGAAGGAGGGAGGGAGGGAGGGAGGAAGGAAGGGGGGAGGGAGGGAGGGAGGAAGGAAGGAAGGGGGGAGGGAGGGAGGAAGGAAGGAAGGGGGGAGGGAGGGAGGAAGGAAGGGGGGAGGGAGGGAGGAAGGAAGGAAGGGGGGAGGGAGGGAGGGAGGAAGGAAGGGGGGAGGGAGGGAGGAAGGAAGGGGGGAGGGAGGGAGGAAGGAAGGAGGGAGGGAGGGAGGGAGGAAGGAAGGGGGGAGGGAGGGAGGGAGGAAGGAAGGAAGGGGGGAGGGAGGGAGAAGAAGGAGGGGAAAAGGAAGGAAGAAGGAAGGTAGCAATGAAGGAAGAAGGAAGGAGGGAAGGAAGGAAGGGAGGCGGGGAGGGAGGGAAAGATCATAAGGATGACTGAACATCTGAAGGCTGAACAGCTTTACGTATTTATGCCTTTTCCGGTCATTTTCTTATGTACTTGTGAATTCCTTCACTTTGCTTTCCTTCTATTTGGCAGATGTCACTGTAGTCATTTTTAAAAATCAACAACTGTCACCCTCGTAATAATTCGCGAGCGCTTGTCAAGCACTTTGTCAGCAAACACTTCCCGCGTGTTCACTCGATCTGCACAACAATCCTGTGGAATTGGTTAAGGTTGCTCTTTCTTGCTTTTTTTTTTTTTTTTAAACAGAGTTTCACTCTTGTTGCCCAGGCTGGAGTGAAGTGGTGCGATCCTGGCTCACTGCAACCTCTGCCTCCCGAATTCAAGCGATTCTCCTGCCTCAGCCTCCTGAGTCGCTGGGATCACAGGCACGTGCCACCATGCTCGGCTAATTTTCGTTATTTTTAGTAGAGACTGGGTTTCGTCATGTTGGCCAGGCTGGTCTCGAACTCCTGATCTCAGCTGATCCCCCCCGCCTTGGTCTCTCAAAGTGCTGGGATTACAGGCATGAGCCACTGAGCCTGGCCAAGGTTATTATTTTCATCCTGTTTATGTGAACCGAAAGCACAGAGTTGAGAAAATTGTCTAAGGTCACCGAGCTAATAAGGAGCTGAGCCAGGGTTGAAACCAGATAATGTGGCTGCAAAGCATGAACTCTTAGTCATGCCAATCATGAACTAAAGAGCGTCCTTCATTTGTGTCTCTGTTCAGATATCATCCAAATGGAGAGAGAGACATTCCCTGAGCACCTTCTATTATATAAGTAGCAACCACCAGACGTGGTGGCTCACGCCTGTAATCCCAGCACTTTGGGAGGCCGAGGCAGGTGGATCATGAGGTCAGGAGTTCAAGACAAGCCTGGCCAAGATGGTGAAACCCCGTCTCTACTAAAAATACAAAAAATTAGCTGAGTGTGATGGCAGGCACCTGTAATCCCAGCTACTTGGGAGGCTGAGGCAGATAATTGCTTGAACCGGGGAGGTGGAGGTTGCAGTGAACCAAGATCACGCCACTGCACTCCAGCCTGGGCAACAGAGCAAGACTCTGTCTCAAAAAAAAAAAAGTAGTGACCACCTCATCCCCACCACATCCACTCACATCTATGTGTTGCTTCCTCTTACCTGATAGTATAGACTCAGCTCACCTGTTCATTCCTCAATTTTCTACCTTCTGTACTCCAGCGGTTTTAGTTGTGCCAACTGGAGACTTTGTCTTTTTTGCTTATGCCCATTTCTCCAGAACATGCAGCAGTGCCTGGGACATAGTAGGCACTCAATACGTGTGTGGGGAACAGATACATCATTGAAGCACAGCTGTTAGCACAGCACACATGGTCCTGATTTATTGAGAACCTACTATGTGCTAGGCACAGGACCAAGCAGTTGGAAATCTCTCCTGGCATTCTTACAGCCACTCAGTTAAGCAGGCAAGTCTCCCAAAGCTTAAGCCGTGGGAAGCACATGCTGAGTCCTTCAGCCAGGAGCTGTCCTTGCCTTCTGTCAGCAGAAGCTGGTCAGGAGGCCTTCCCGGAGGAGGCAGCATCACTGCCTCCCCCAATCTTCCCTCCCATCCCTGTGGCTGCTCCTTCTCAGTCTCATTGTGGGCCCCTCTTTCTCCACTTGTCCCTTTCATGCCTGTACTACTCCATGTCTGGCTAGACCAGAGCTTATAAACCAGCCAGCTCCAACCCACAGACAGGTTTTATTTGGCCCACACAGCATTTTTTTTTCATTTGAATTAGTTTTAACATTTAAAAGCTGAGGGATTTTGCTTTTAAAAATATCCAGATTTCTGCCTTCTCTTGGAAATTTGGAACATCTGGTGGTGCCAGGTCCCTCTTCCCATATGGCAAGCGTTGGCTGAAACGAAATAGCAACAGCCATGTTCTCTGAGCTACCCTCTACCAGGGGGTTTGCATGCGTCCCAAGCCATGAATGAACACCTGCAGAGCTTGAGATGGTTTAGGGGTGGTATTCAGCCAAGGGCTCTAGAAATACCCAAGGGCCACCTGGAATGACCGTTTGTTTTCCTCAGCAGAAACAGACCCAGGGAACCACGGCCGGAGAAGGTAGAGATAATACATTTCTGTCAGGCAGCATTGCAGATGTCCCATGCAGGAGGATGGATGTCCTGGGTTTAATCGATGCAGGCTAAGCCATTCTCTAAAGAGGCTTGCCTTCTGGGGCCCAAAACACATGTGAGGGAGACAGAGAGGTGGGGACAGAAAGAGCCAGAGTAAAGCAGAGAGAGAGAGAGAAAGAGATAAAGAGAGAGAGAGAGAGACAGAGAGAGAGACAAAGAGAGACAGAGAGAGAGAGAGAAACAGAGAGAGAGAGACAAAGAGAGAGAGAGACAAAGACAGAGAGAGACAGAGAGAGACAAAGAGAGAGACAGAGAGAGAAAGAGAGACAGAGAGAGACAGAGAGAGAGACAGAGACAAAGAGATAGAGAGAGAAAGAGAGAGAGACAGAGAGAGAGAGACAAAGACAGAGACAGAGAAACAAAGAGAGAGAGAGAGACAGAGAGAGACAGAGAGAGACAGAGAGAGAGAGAGACAGAGAGAGTGAGAGAGAGAGAGAGAGAGTCCATCAATTTAAAGTCTTTTTCTAGGGGAATGAAGGGGAATGGCATATGTGGTGACTATGGGGTGTGTGTGTGTGTGTGTGTGTGTGTGTGTGTGTGTGTGTGTGTGTATTTCATGTAAGAAAGCAGCATGCTGAGGACACAGCAGCAAGAACAAAGCAATGAGCTCCCCCTGGAAGCCAATATAACTTACTTCTACTTAGTAACATTTACCCCTTTTCTTTTTTAAGACAGAGTCTCACTCTGTCGCCCAGGCTGGAGTACAGTGGCACAATCTCAGCTCACCGCAACCTCTGCCTCCCAGGTTCAAGCTATTCTCATGCCTTGGCCTCCTGAGTACCTGGGATTACAGGCACACATTGCCATGTCCAGATAATTTTTTTGTATTTTTAGTAGAGACAGGGTATTTTTTTTTTTTTTTGAGACAGAGTCTTGCTCTGTCACCCAGGCCGGAGTGCAATGACACAATCTCGGCTCACTGCAACCTCTGCCTCCCAGGTTCAAGCAATTCTCCTGTCTCAGCCTCCCGAGTAGCTGTGACTATGGGAGTGTGCCATCACATCCAGCTAATTTTTGTATTTTTACTAGAGATGGGGCTTCACCATGTTGGCCAGGCTGGTCTCGAACTCCTGACCTCGTGATCCGCCCGCCTTGGCCTCCCAAAGTGCTGGGATTACAGGCATGAGCCACCATGCCTGGCCTGTTTGTTTATTTTTTTGAGTTGGAGTCGTGCTCTGTTGTCCAGGCTGGAGAGCAGTGGCACAATCTCAGTTCACTGCAACCTCCGCCTCCTGGATTCAAGCAATTCTCTTGCCTCAGCCTCCCAAGTAGCTGGGATTACAGGCACACACCACCATGCCAGGCTAATTTTTTTGTATTTTTAGTAGAGACAAGGTTTCGCCATGTTGGCCAGACTGGTCTCGAATTCCTGACCTCAGGTGATCCACTGGCCTCGGCCTCCCAAAGTGCTGGAATTACAGGCGTGAGCCACTGGGCCTGGCCGAGACAGGGTTTTACCATGTTGGCCAAGCTGGTCTCGAACTCCTGACCTCAAGTGATCTGCCCACCTCCACCTCCCCAAGTGCTGGGATTACAGGCTCGAGCCACTGCGCCTGGCCCCCAGTTACCCCTTTTCTA
Organism: Homo sapiens; assembly: GCF_000001405.40. Classification (NCBI taxonomy): domain Eukaryota; kingdom Metazoa; phylum Chordata; class Mammalia; order Primates; family Hominidae; genus Homo; species Homo sapiens. The sequence continues at coordinate 317,782 of NW_003571060.1, forward strand.
ACACCAACCCAGATTGTTCTCTGCAATTCAGGATTCATGTTTCTCAGGTGGCAATCCAAGATCCATTAGCCAGCCACAAAACAATTTAGAAGGTTGTGACCAGATTTGAATTACAAAATAGAAGTAACAGAGGATAGAAATTATCCAAGAGCATTGCACATAGTGGTCAGAAACTTTTTACTTTTTTTTTTTTTTTTTTTTTGTGTGTGTGTGTATACTAGATCATAATGTAAAATGTATTTCTCACTGTGGGTTGTGGCCCTATCAGTTGGAAACCACTCATCTAGAATATTATCCATATGGAGAGGGCTGATGCAGGGCCAAATGATGGAGGGTATAAACTCAGGGCTGAGGGTGTGACTTGATTCTATGGGCAACGTGGAGCCACTGAGCTCTATTGGGTTGCACAGTCACCACCAGCACCTCACTGTCCTGCACTCTGATGTACACATGCCCAACTGTGCACATCATGACGTTTGGAATTCTTCCCATTAGCAAATCCTGCTGCTACAACAAACACTGGCTGTGGACATGATGCAAGAGATTGTCAGAACAAGAGTTTTAGAATATACTAATCTTAGCCCTAAAGGGTTAAGCCTTCATTTTACAGACAGAAAAAGAGGGACTCTAAGATGAAAAACTACTTGCCTAGAGTCACTTAATACACCTCTAACCGCTCATCTCGGGATCTTCTTCATCCCCAAGCCCCATGTAGGCCACCTGGTTGGGAATGGTGGAGAACATGACTCTAGCCAGAACCAGAGAAAGCTGAAGAAGACCTAGGGTAGTGATGAGAGAGGGTGTGTGTGTGTGTGTGTGTGTGTGTGTGTGTGAGAGAGAGAGAGAGAGAGAGACAGAGATAAGGCGCCTATTCTCACTCTCCCATTTCATCATCAATACCTTCACCAATATCACTATCCTCCTCCTCACCGTCATCATCATCGTCCTCATCACCATCATCACCACCATCATCATCATCATTATCATCATGACATGTCAACATAATCTTGTCTTCACCACCATCATCATCATCACTATCATCATCATCATATCCTCATCTTCACCATCACCATCACCACCACCACCACCATCACCACCACCACCATCGTCCTCATCACCATCATCACCACCATCATCATCATAATTATCATCATGACATGTCAACATAATCATGTCTTCACCATCATCATCATCATCACCATCACCATCGTCAACACCACCACCACCATCATCATCACCATCACCACCATCACCATCATCATGACATCATATCACCAACATAATCACCACCATCATCGTCATCACCACCACCTCCGCTACCACCAGCATTCCTCTTTTCCCTAGCCCTTTCTTGCCAATCTGGAGCAAAATATGGAAATGGGTTAAGTGGAGAACTAATCTCCCTTTCTTCCACTCATCCCAATTCCCACAAGAGAGGCCACGTGTGTGGTTTCCAGATGGCAAAGTCTCACCCTGCCCTACAGCAAGAGGGGACCCCTGGGGCCAGATTCCTGAGCACCTAGTTTTGGCTGCAATAGTGACAGTCTGGGTGATGATGTCAGGGTGGCCAGGTCCCCTCCCAGGGTTGGCACTTCCCCATCTATCGGTGTGGCATCGGAGGATTCCAGTGAGATGTAACATGGGGAGTGGCTGGAAAAATACTCTGTAACTGTATGGCGAATGCCAAGGGGCAGGGGTCCTTGTATACACCGAAGTAATCCCGAGTCAGTTTACAGGATGGGAAGGGCCCCTATATAGATGACCAGGGTCCTTATGCAGGTAGAAGGGGTCCTTATGCAGCATGAAGGCTTGCTACACAGGCGTGTGGATTTTTCCATACATTCTGGAGTAGCCTCTACACATAGGAGTGTTTGTGCTTAGAAGCTGTGTCCTTATGCAGGCTAGGAATAAAAGTGGGACGGAGATTTTACACAAATACGGGCATCTTTTACAGGTGGGAGCACTTTCGTACACAGAGGACTTCTTACCCATGGAATTGGCCGTTCTTTGTAAAACGCTCTGTACTTACTAGCAACCTTTACACAGACATGAAGTTTCTCCATAAGGATAAAGGGATCATTATGTTTTAGGTGAAATAACAGTATGAGTGGCCTCGTATGGACAAGGAGGGCTGATTTCAATCGCGATGCAAGCCAGCTGTCCGGATGCCGCCGACGCCAGCAGCGCGGTACCTGCGCGGGCAGCAGGTGGGAGCCGCGACCGGGGTGGGGCGCGGAGCGCTGGGGGCCTCCCGACTCCCGCAGTCCCCGCCGCGACCACCAGGGGCAGCACCGTCCCCGCCCGGCCCGCGCCTCCCTCCCCCCAATCTCCGCCCCCCACCCCCTGCCTCCCCCCCGCTCCCGCTCCCCTGAGCCCAGCCAGACCCCGCGCCGCCCGCGCCCCGCTCGACTCCGGAGGCTCCCGCAGCCCCGGCGTCCGCCCCGCTGCCCCCTCCCCCGGGGGCCATGGGGGCGCCCCCGGGCTACCGGCCCTCAGCTTGGGTGCATCTCCTCCACCAGCTGCCCCGCGCCGACTTCCAGCTCCGCCCGGTGCCCAGCGTTTTCGCGCCCCAAGAGCAGGAATACCAGCAGGTGGGACCGGGCGCCAGGGCCTGGGGGCCAGGGCTGGGGGCCGGAGCTCCTGGGTCCCGAGGGAGAAGGGGGCTGGGTCACAGATTTCCTGAGCTCCGCCGGAGGCTGGGGGCCGGCCCGGACTTTGGGGTTTCGGAGGGAGGAGGAGCCTGGGGGCGCCCATGCCTGGAGGTTCTCCTGGGACGCGCGCTGGGGGTCCAGACCTCGAGCTCTCTAAATAAGGGAAGGCTGGGGACCTGCACCCCTGAGTTCATGGAGAGGAGGGGAGGGGGGCCCGGATTCCCGGGTGTCTGATACCTGCCTGGGAAGCCGGCCTCCAGGGTCATCGGGAGGGTAGGTCTACTCTTCCTGCCCTAAAAGATGACCCTGCCCCACAGGATCAGAGCAGGTGAATATGTCCCAGATAAGGTGGGACCCAGGAGACAGCGGACCTGATAACGGTGGCGGGGAAAACGCTGGCTGCTGCGGTGCTGGGATGGGATTGAGAGTCTGAAATGGGGAAGGGGGCTTCAGGGGCTGAGGACCAGGGCTGGAAAATGAAGGGGCTCTGGGAGAGGAAGCTTCTTGCCCGTCCCAAGAAAGAAGGGGTGGTCAGGGCGCTGCAGGGGTGAGGGCCGAGATGAGGCTGGGTTTGGGGAGCCTCGGGATGACAGACCCGGGTCCCGAGGGTGGGGCCGGTGTGGGAACCTCACAGAAGCCGGTGTCCCTGGGGAAGGGGCCCGGCTCGGGGCAGCTCCAATGGGCGAAAGAGCTGTCCCCTGACCCAGTTTAATTCAAGTCCTTGACTTCGAGATTAATGAGGAGAAAGGCTTGGCTGAGCTGGGGACGGGTGGGGGTGCTGGGAGTCCCGATGTGGCCCCAGGACGGGTCCTGGCCCTGCTGATGGGGCCTGAGCCCCTGGGCTCCGTCTTGGGTTGCTCCTGGGAGAAGGGGGCTGGGATTGGAGAGCTCAGGGGGCGTGGAGGGGGTCCCAGAAAAGCGCGGAGGGGATGAGTGCTGTGTTCTGAGCTATTTGGGTCACGGCTGGCACAGCCCTGAGCAGCTCTTCCCCGCCTGCTCCTCGCCGCCCCCTCTCCCCACACACGGGGACCGCCGTCCCCTCGCCCACAGCCTCGCGGTTACACAACGGCCACCTCCAACAACGCCGCTCCACCGGCTCCGGCCTCGGCCCAGACTCACGCCCGCTCTGGCCCGGAGACCTCCCGAAGCCGCACGCGGGGATCCGCGGCCCCAGTCACCGCCAGAGGCACGGGTTTGGGGGAGCCTCACTCCGCCCCCACGGTCGGGGGTCAGGGTCAGGGTGGCAGGGATGCGCGGGCAGAGCCCCACAGCCGAGGAGGGCAAGGGGGACCCCTGCAGGGACGCGACCACCGTGGGTACAGCTGCAGACACAGCCAGGGCCTCAGGGACACTGGCCCGGGGGAGGCACACAGCCACACGCACACACTCACTGGCATATGCACAGCACACACACACGTCCACTTACTCCCATTACACACTCACATGCACACACATATGCACAGGCACACCCAGACACGCCCACTTATTCCAACACACTCACATGCACACACATATGCACAGGCACACTCAGACACACCCACTTACTCCCATTACACACTCACATGCACACTCACATGCACACACTCAGACACGCCCACTTACTTTCATTACACACATGCACACACACATATGCACAGGTACACACACACGCCCACCTACTCTCATTACACACTCACATATGCACACACACATACCCATTTACTACTCCCGCTATGCACTCACACCCACATACAACACACGCATATAGACACATGCATACACTCACATGGATATACCCACTTACACATACACAATCACACATATGCACACGCACATTGCGCACAGTGACTCACAACACACACATACACATGTATAAGCATTTACTCCCATATACAAGCACACACTGCACTTATATATATATGCTTACACACTCATGCATGCACCGTCACATACACGTTTATACTCCCATACACACACACACGTACATTCCATTCACATCTACACACACATGCACACACATATTGACTATAGCATTCATGTGCACACACACACTCACATGCAGTCACGCATCCACACACACACTCATCCACACTGTTACACACACACAACCGGACCCACTCACAGGCCCAAGGAACTGTGCCCAGAACACACAAATGCCCACAGATGTTCTCATTTGCAGACAGCAGTGCACCCAGGAGACACACTCAGGTGCCCCCTCATCTCATGGAGACAGCCCAAAGATAAAAACATCCAGTCTCAACCAGAAACACAAACACTGCACACACTTGGGACACACACACACACACACACTGTGCCACTGTGTGTGTGTATGTGTGTGGACAAAGGCAGAAACACCGTGGTTTAGGGGAAACAGCCTTGGCAAGTCCAGAGGTGTGACTCTGATCCCAATGTTGTCCCTCCATGCTCCGGGGCTCAGTGCAAACCCCCTGGGCCACTGTGGGCCTCTGGGACCGCACAGGTCAGCTGTGAAATCCCCGCCACGTGGAGAGCCCTGTTATTCTGCAAGGCTCTGCCCACCGCAGAACGTTTCCGCGGCCTGCCTGTCTTCCGGGCCTTGGCTCTCTCCGCCTCTCTGTCCTTGTGTGTCTCTCCCGTCTCCATAGTGTTCTCACGCTCTCTCTCCCTTACTCTGCTCTTCCTCTCTGATTTGATCCCTTTTGCTCTCTGCCTTTTTCTGACTCATGCCCGAACCTTGTCTTATCTTTGTCTCTTTTTTTGGTTGTGTCTTTCTGCCTGTGCCTCCCTCCATCTCTCTCTCTCTCTCTTTCTGTTCTGTCTTCACTCTTCCAGTTTCCATTTCTGAGTCTTGCATACACACACACACACACGTTGCCACACAGCCCCTCGTCCCGTCCCTGGGTGACAAGCTCAGGCGCTGTGGGGTGTAGCGCTCAGCAGCAGGGGAGACAGTGAGCAGGGAGGAGAGGGGGAGGAAGCACGCCTCCCCCAGCCTGGCCCGAGGCACCAGGAACAGGTGCCCCCACACCCCCACCCGCCCCCTGATCCCACACGATTGTGGAGGGGCCTTGGCAGGTCCTTGGGAAAACCTCCATTCCAACTGCTGGCTGCAGAGAGAAGGAAACCCAGGCTCGGAGAAGGGGCGGTTCCTGCTAAAGATTGCACAGCCAATGGAGGGCAGAGCAGAATTGGGACCCAAGGCTTGGGGCCCCCAGTTGGAAGCTCCCTCCAGCAAGCTGGCCCTGACACCTGGAGCCCCAGCTGCCAGCCTGGGAGGGGCTGGGACCCAATCTCCCCCAAGATTAGGCCAGGGATGTCTCCCACCTTCACTCTGACATCCCAGACCCCGACCCCCCAGCCACGCAGGAAGGGGGATCTGAGTGTGGAACACACGGGTGCCCTCGGAGGTCTGATGTCACCCCCTTCCCCAGGCCTTGTTGCTGGTGGCGGCCTTGGCGGGCCTGGGCTTGGGCCTGAGCCTCATTTTCATCGCTGTCTACCTCATCCGCTTCTGCTGCTGCCGGCCCCCCGAGCCCCCCGGGTCCAAGATCCCCTCGCCCGGGGGAGGCTGCGTCACCTGGAGCTGCATTGTCGCCCTTCTCGCCGGCTGGTAATGGGGCCCCAGGGTGGGTGGGCGGTGGGGACAGGGCTCCCCAAGCTCTTTGCTGGCCTTCCTGGGGGTGTCCTCCGGGGACATGGAGGAAGCAGACAGGAAGGAGGAAACTCCCTCGTCCCTGTCCCTGCCATTTGCAAGCCCACTTCAGCGCACAGCAGGAAGGACTGTCCCATTTGATGGATGGAGAAAGTGAGGCTCTGGAGAGGAAGTGAATCAAGGGCAGCCATCTGGTGAGAAGGCGCAGGGGCAGTCAGATGGCCTGGTTTTGGTGGCTCTCCCATTGAATAGCTGTGTGACCTAAGGGAGTGATAGTCTCCCTGGGCCTCAATTTCCACGTCTGTAAACTGGGCATTATCATCTCGCCCACCTCCTGCGGGGGTAAGATGGAGAGAAAGCACAGTGTCTGACTTGCAGCTACTCTCAGCCAACATTAACTGGTGATGTCTGTCATTCCGTCATTCACCAGCTCATTCATTCGACAACTGTTTATTGAGTATTTACTATGTGCCAGATACTGACCAAGCCAGGCAAGGAGCCCCTCGTGCAGCTTATGTTCTAATCAGGGAGACGGACGATAAATAGATATAATCACCCTCCAAGAGCACCTCATCTGTGCCCAGACCTGAGCTGGTCTAATTCCTTCTCACAATAATGCTGCTGGATTCAGGGGTGTCAGGCCCAGTTTCCAAAGAGGAAGGCTCAGGGACAGAGGGGAGGTCACCTTTCAAGGCCACGTGGCTTAAGAGGCAGCACAGAGATTCAGACCCAGGTTAGTAGGACCCCCTCACACCCCTCAAAGCGAGCTTAGGGGGCTTCCAATGTGAACACACCAGCTACCAAGAACGAGCTCTGAGCACAGCCCCCTCCCCGGCAGGGCAGCACCCACAGGTTACAGACAGCAATCCTCTTCCACAGACGGGGGGTCCCAGAGGGCCAGACGCCTGCCCCGGACCCACAACGGGCAAGGGGAGGGACCTGTAGGGGTGGCCTGTATTCAGGACGCTTCCTCCTCCGGCTCTCTGGCGTGGGGGGAGACAGGGGAGGTGGACAAAGGCCCAGTGGGGGAGAGACACGGCCCCAGCCCCCGCAGCCTGGGAACAAGAGGAGCTTTGTAGGACTCTGAACAATGGGGCGGGGACACTGGGCGTCCGACCCGAGGGATGGGGGTGGAGGCCCAGCCGGGGCTGGGAACCGGGAGGGTGTCAGGCTCCCGCCCCCTCCACTGCGGGACACCGGCCGGGGGCGGGGACGGGAGGGGTCTGGGGCCCCACATTCAGGTCCCACAATGGAGCTCTGTGTGTCGGTAGGGTGGGGGCGGGGGCACGGCTTCTCGCCCATCCTCCAGCCTCCCTCCCACATTCCCTTACTTCCCTCCCAGCTGGCCCGACGCTTGGGTCCCGGGTGGGGGAAGGCCGAGAGCTCCAGGCTCAGCGTCCCCCCAGGAGATGGTGGCAGCTGCCCCCCTTGTACCCTTAGGAACCCCCAGGAGGTGGGGGCGGAGAACGTCTCAGCACTGAAGGGTTGGCACTGCAGGCCCCAAGGACCCTAGGGCACCCTAGGACAGGTGCCAGGAGGGCTGCCTGCCTGGCAAAGGATGCGGGGGAAGGGTGTGGGGCAGGCAGTCCTAGGGAGGGGAAGACGGCCCATCCCGGAGCTGGGTGTGACTGGGGTTCTGCTCCAGGGAGGTGCGAGTTAAATCGGGGGCTCCCTCCCCCCCACCACTCCACCCACCATTAACATCACAATGACGTCCCTCCGCTGGGGGAGTGAGGCCTTCCCGTTCCCTTGGCAACCGACGGGGGCCAGGCTGAAGTCGCCCTTTTCCCACGGGCTGGCCCAATGAGGTGGGGCTGAGATGGGAGGGGTGGATAAGAAGGCGAGGTGGAGGGGATGGGGTGGGAGGGGACGGTGGCCCCCGGGGTCCTGGGACCCGCTGAGATTCCTCTCCCTCCTCCTCCGCTCAGCACTGGCATTGGCATCGGTTTCTATGGCAACAGTGAGACCAGTGATGGGGTGTCCCAGCTCAGCTCTGCGCTGCTGCACGCCAACCACACACTCAGCACCATTGACCACCTGGTGAGGGGCCAGCAACCAGTGGGACCCCAGACCCACACCTGGACGGGCTCCCCACACCCAAGGACAAAGGGATCCAAACTCAGAGCTAAGACCCCAGGCTTGAAGCTTAGGAACCCAGATTCAGAACTTCATCCTGAGACCCACAGACCTCAGACTATCCACCCAACCCCCGACCCTGGCTGCAAATTGAGGACCTCACACACAGGCCCAGCCCTGGACCTTACCTGGAACCCCCAAGCCACACAGAAACCAAGCACCAGCGACACCAGCCCCTGTCCACGGGCCAGATCCAGGGCCCCAGACCTGATTCTTGGCCCGTAAGCAAGCTCAGGGACCCCCGCCCTGAGGCCCAGGTCCCCGACTTGAGGCTTCAGCTCCGACATCAGCTCCAGGATTCTGGGCCCTGGGGCTGAGGCCTGGCCCCACTTCATGCCTTAGATTCCATGTCCAGCTGCAGACTCTAGACCATGGGACCCAGACTTGAGACCCCAGATTCTGGAAGGCAGATGAAAACTTCAGACCTAAAGCTCCACACTTAATCTCAGTCCTGGGGCTGGACTTACTACCCTGGGCTCAAGCTACCAACCATCCAGAGCTCTGGATAGAGGCCACAGAACTCCATGAACTTGATCTTGAAGCCCCTCCCCAATCCCTTCCCTTACTCAATCCTCAGATGTCCCAGACTCCAGATCTCAGACACCCGCTACTATGCACCCCTCCTTCACTTCTAAAACCCCATGCCTCGACCGCGGGCTCCCCCCAGGATGTCCTTCCAGACCTCAGCCCCTGTCCTATCCCCAGGTGTTGGAGACGGTGGAGAGGCTGGGCGAGGCGGTGAGGACAGAGCTGACCACCCTGGAGGAGGTGCTCGAGCCGCGCACGGAGCTGGTGGCTGCCGCCCGAGGGGCTCGACGGCAGGCGGAGGCTGCGGCCCAGCAGCTGCAGGGGCTGGCCTTCTGGCAGGGAGTGCCCCTGAGCCCCCTGCAGGTGGCTGAAAATGTGTCCTTTGTGGAGGAGTACAGGTGAGACGCTGCTCTTCTTGCTCTCTGTGCCGGCAGCTCTCAGGCGGAGTCCCCGGGGGGACAGTTGGCAATGCCTGGAGGCAGTTTTGGTTGTGACAGCTGGGGAGTGTGTGCGCACTGCTGGCATCCAATGGGTAGAGCCCAGGAACTGTTCAACACCCTGCAATGCACAAGAACCCCCTCCCCACCCATTGGCAGGGAATGATCCAGCCACCATGACAATTATGACGAGGCTGGCCAGGCGCGGTGGCTCAGGCCTGTAATCCCAGCACTTTTAGGAGGCCAAGGTGGGTGGATCACCTGAGGTCAGGAGTTTGAGACCAGCCTGGCCAACGTGGAGAAACCCCGTCTCTACCAAAAATACAAAAATTAGCTGGGCGTGGCGGCAGATGTCTGTAATGCCAGCTACTCAGGAGGCTGAGGCAGGAGAATCCCTTGAACCCGGGAAATGGAGGTTGCAGTGAGCCGAGATTTCACCATTGCACTCCAGCCTGGGCGATAGAGTGAGACTCCATCTCAAAAAAAAAAAAAAAGATGAGGTTGAGAAACCTACTGTGGAGGGACAGATCACCAGACCCCATGGCCATCCTGACACCCATGTCCTCACCCATTCACTCACTCACCCCCTCCACGTCACTCCACTCACTTATTCACACATGCGTTCATTCCTTGACTCACTCATTCAGCAAGTCACTCTTGGACTCAGTTACTCCTGGACTAACCCAGCAGGCCACTCACTCAGTCGTTCATCCGTGTGACATGTGTATTTGTTCAGCACTATTTTTTTTTTTTTTTTTGAGATGGAGTCTCACTCTGTCGCCCAGGCTAGAGTGCAGCGGTGCGATCTCGACTCACTGCAACTTCCGCCTCCTGGATTCAAGCGATTCTCCTGCCGCAGCCTCCCAAGTAGCTGGCATTACAGGCAGGCGCCACCACGCCCGGCTAATTTTTGTATTTTTAGTAGAAACGGGGTTTCACCATGTTAGCCAGGCTGGTCTCAAACTCCTGACCTTGTGATCTGCCCGCCTTGGCCTCTCAAAGTGTTGTTCAGCACTATTTATTTAGCACCCTCTGGTGAAAGAGGCAGCGTACCTACAGATCAGGAACCTGAGCTCGAAAGCCAGCCAGCCCCACCCTAACCACGCGGCTGCAATCAAGTTACTTTGCAGACCTCTGCCTTGGTTTCCCCATCTGTGAAATGGGAATCGGGGCAGCGTCCCCCTTGTTGAATTGGTTCGAGTTGTTGAGTTGGCATCTGAGTGCTGAGAAGGACGATTAGCACAGGGAGAGCACCGCAGAGATATGAAGTGTAGTCACCCCGGTGGCGGGCCGGGCAGTGAGCAAGTGGCAGAAATCCCTGCCACGTGGCTGCGTCCTCCGGGGGGAACCAGCAAGGGACAAACGCAGAGAAAAACATTGTAAGGTGTTGGGCCATGAGAACTTTGGAGAAAATTACAGAGGGGACCAGGCACGGTGGTTCACGCCTGTAATCCCAGCACTTTGGGAAGCCGAGGCAGGCGGATCACGAGGTCAAGAGATCGAGACCATCCTGGCTAACACGGTGAAATCCCGTCGCTACTAAAAATACAAAAATTAGCCGGGCGTGGTGGTGGGCGCCTGTAGTCCCAGCTACTTGGGAGGCTGAGACAGGAGAATCGCTTGAACCCGGGAAGTGGAGCTTGCAGTGAGCAGAGATCGTGCCACTGCACTCCAGCCTGGGTGACGGAGCGAGAATCCGTCTTAAAAAAAAAAAAAGAAAATTATAGAGGGAGATGAGGTGGGACAGAGTCTGGCAGTTCATCAGGGGGACTGAGAAGGTGGCATTTGGAGGAGAGGAGGCAGTGAGCTGTGCAGTGTCCAGGCAGCCACCCTTCCCAGCGGCCACCATGACGGTGTCCTCATTGCTTTGACCATTAGTAATCATTCATTCATTCATTCATTTATCCGACGTCAGCTGGAGGCCCTGCCCGCGGGGCATGCGCTGAGATTTGGGAGGCCTTCCGGGATGCTGCGCTCCAGCGGGGAAGGCCGACTGGGGCTGAAAAAGCTGGAGGTCAGGACACACCCGCAGGGCAGCAGGTGCAAGAGACAGACAAGCCTGGGTTTGAAGAAGTCCAGGTTCTGCATTGTGGTCAGGCCCAGGGGCTGCACAAGCCGGGCCTCAGCTCCTTCTCCTGGGCGAGGGCAGGGAAGTGGTGGGAGCCATAAGGGTGATGCCAGGGTGAGGCAGACCCACCATCGCTAGAAAATATCTTCCGGGTGCACCACTGCGAAAGCACCCCACACTTGGGAGTCCCTCGACAGACAAATCAGGGGCCTCCAAGGGAGTCTTGCTGGAGGGGAGCACTTGCGAGGCTGGGCGGAAGCAGCCAGAGACCAGGGTAAGGAGTGAAGCCCAAGCTTGTGGGGCCTGCAGAGAATGGCAGGAGGATTACATGAGCACTTACTACGTGCCGGGCACTGTGCTGTTGTTACGGCGGGTCCTTGCTCCCGGAGCTCCCAAGATCGTGGTGGCCACTTCCAAGAGGGCAGCAAGCCTCGTGTTCTCTGACCTGGGGTTCTTGGCCTCACGGATTCCAAGGAATGGAATCCTGGGCCCTGCGGTGAGTGTTTTAGCTCTATTAGAAGCCGTGGGTCACGGAAGAGAACCGTGGAACCCAGCGACCAGTGTTCAGCTCGATCAGGATGAACCCAGGCAGTTAGCTGTGCAGGAACAATGGCGAGCCTCTAGCCCGATTGGGAGCGGCAATGGGTGTCTCCCTGGATCACGAGCACAGTGGACACCCTGCCGGATCCGGAGGGTGGAAGTCAGCGGCGGGTCTGCGACGGCGGCAAACAGCAGTGGTGGACGGCGAGCGAAAGCTCAGCTCAAGCCGTAACAGACACGGACCAGAAGAGTGTGCAGTTTCAAGTTTTAATAGAGTGAAAACAGAGTTCCCATACAACGGGAGGGGACCCAAAGTGGGTAGCCGTTGCTGGCTGGAATGCCTGGGTTTCTATCCAGATCATTGTCCCTTCCCCTGTGCTCTCAGGTGATAGATGATTGGCTATTTCTTTACTTCCTATTTTTGCCTAACTAGCACTTTAGTGAGCTCTCTTTACTACCTGATTGGTTGGGTGTGAGCTAAATTGCATGCCCCGTGTTTAAAGGTGGATGCGGTCACCTTCCCAGCTAGGCTTAGGGATTATTAGTCGGCCTCGGACATCCAGCTAGTCCTGTCTCTCACTGTGGCTTGCATGCTTGCACCTCCTGAATCATGGTGGTGGGCCCTTCACTGATATTTAAGGATTAACTTTTTTTTTTTTCATTTTTGAGACTAAGTCTCACTCTTGTCGCCCAGGCTGGAGTGCAGTGGTGCAATCTTGGCTCACTGCAACCTCCACCTCATGGGTTCAAATGATTCTCCTGCCTCAGCCTCCCAAGTAGCTGGGATTACAGGCGTGCACCACCACGCCCGGCTAATTGTTGTATTTTTAGTAAAGACGGGGTTTCACCATGTTGGCCAGGCTGGTCTCAAACTCCTGACCTCAAGTGATCCGCCTGCCTCAGCCTCCCAAAATGCGCGGATTACAGGCGTGAGCCACCTCGCCCGGCCAAGTATTAACTATTAACTAACATCTCAGTTCCCTCGTTCACGCTCAGGCTAACCTCTAAGTGTGTCCACGTGCTTGGCACTCTCCTAAGCACTTCTAGTCATGCAGCCCACTCGAGGCAATATTCTCAAGCCAGTGTTGTTGTGCTCCCCACGTTACATGTAGGGAAACTGAGGAACGAGAGGCTAAGGTTACCGAGACAAGAGTTACCCGGCCAGTTAAGCGGAGGGGCTGGGGTTGAGACCAGGCAGCCTCTGCCTCCAGACGTCATGCCCTCCAGGGATGCGATGGGATCTTTGGTGCAGTCTTGAGAACGAGTATCTCCACTCTGCAGGGTGGGGTTGGGGATGGGGAGCTCGGAGAGAACACATCACGTGTCCCTGGTCACAGGGCACATGTGTGTGGCCCGGCCAGGGGATAGTCCCAGGTGCTCAGGACCTGTATTCTAAACCGCTCCAGTGTCCTGTCTCATGATAACACTATTTCACAGAGGACCTGGGCTGTGGCCCAGACACAGTAAACAGCAGGAGGCTGAGCTTGGAGGGTGGTGAATGTGAGGCTGAGCTGGGGGGCAGGGTGAATGCTGGTGGAGGGTTGCTGTTCCGCCGGGGTGCCTGGAGGCAGGTTTGTGGTTTCAGCCCTACCCTCTCCCCTCCCAGGTGGCTGGCCTACGTCCTCCTGCTGCTCCTGGAGCTGCTGGTCTGCCTCTTCACCCTCCTGGGCCTGGCGAAGCAGAGCAAGTGGCTGGTGATCGTGTAAGTGCAGGCAGTAGGGGGACCCAGTGCTTGCCTGGCACTCTCCTGGCAGGCAGGACCTCAGTCTTACAACTCTCCTACACGGAGGACCGTGGTCCTTCACGGCCGGGTACACACGAAGAAAAGAGAGTCAGAGCAGCCCAGGAGGGAGGCGGGGACAGACCTGAAAACAGGCAGCCCTAACAGTATGAAGTATGCTGGAATCATGGCAGAAATAATCATTGTGTTGGCAATAAAGATGAGGATGAGGCCAGGCGCGGTGGCTCACGCCTGTAATCCCAGCACTTTAGGAGGCCGAGGTGGGTGGATCATGAGGTCAGGAGTTTGAGACCAGCCTGACCAACATGGAGAAACCCTGTCTCTATTAAAAATACAAAAATTAGCTGGGTGTGGTGGCATGCGCCTGTAGTCCCAGCTACTCAGGAGGCTGAGGCAGGAGAATCGCTTGAACTCAGGAGGTGGAGGTTGTGGTGAGCCAAGATCACACCATTGCACTCCAGCCTGGGCGACAGAGTGACACTCCATCTCAAAAAAAAAAAAAAAAAAAAAAAAGGCTGGGCGTGGTGGCTCACGCCTGTAATCCCAGCACTTTGGGAGGCCGAGGAGGGCGGATCACGAGGTCAGGAGATCGAGACCATCCTGGCTAACACGGTGAAACCCCATCTCTACTAAAAATACAAAAATTAGCCGGGCGTGGTGGCGGGCGCCTATAGTCCCAGCTACTCGGGAGGCTGAGGCAGGAGAATCGCTTGAACCCGGGAGGCGGAGGTTGCAGTGAGCTGAGATTGCACCACTGCACTCCAGCCTGGGCGACACAGTGAGACTCCATTTCAAAAACAACAACAACAACAACAAAAAAAAACAGATGAGGATGATGATCTATTGAGGGTCATGCACGCTGAGTCCTTCAGTTGCCTCCACCCCATGAAGGAGCTACCATAAGGCTCCATGTGGCCGGTCAGGGACCTGACTAAGAGCGCAGAGGGTGGCCAAGTCCGAGACTGAGCCGTCCTTAAGTGTCGTGGCAAAGCCGCAGGACCACACTGATTTCACAGCTCGCTCTACGCGCCCGACACTCTTCTCTGCACTCCCTGGAGCACCTCATGCCCCCTGTGAGGAAGGTGCTTCCTTCTGCCTGTTTTTTATTTCTGTTTTTTATTTTGAGAAGGTCTTGCTTTGTTGCCCAGACTGGAGTGCAGTGGCATGATCACGGCTCACTACAGCCTCTGTCCCCTGAGGCTCAAGTGATCCCCCCACCTCAGCCTCCAGAGTAGCTGGGACCATGGGCTTATGCCACCACTCCCGGCTAAGTTTTTTTTTTTTTTTTTTTTTTTTTTTTGAGCTGCAATTTGGCTCTTGTTGTCCAGGCTGGAGTTCAGCGGCACGATCTTGGCTCACTGCAACCTCTGCCTCCTGGGTTCAGGCAATTCTCCTGCTTCAGCCTCCCAAGTAGCTGGGATTACAGGCGTATGCCACCAAACCTGTCTAATTTTGTATTTTTAGTAGAGATGGGGTTTCTCCATGTTGGTCAGGATGGTCTCAAACTCCTGACCTAAGGTGATCCGCCCGCCTCAGCCTCCCAAAGTGCCTGGATTACAGGCATGAGCCACCGTGCCTGGCCTAAGTTTTGTATATTTTTGTAGAGATGGAGTCTTGCTATGTTGCCCAGGCTGGTCTCGAACTCCTGGCCTCAAGTGATCAGCCTGCCTCAGCCTTCCAAAGTACTGGGTTTACAGGCATGAGCTACCATGCCTGGCCCTTCTCCCTGTTTAACAGAGGGAGAGACTGAAGATCAGAGAGGTTGGACCACTTGCTCAGGGCCACACAGCTAGAAGTGCTAGAGCTGGGATTTGAACCAGACAGGCCATTCTCATTGGAGGAGTCCCTGCATTCTCTCTGGCCCTAGTGGGGTGAGGCGGAGTTGAACCTGTACCTCCATTGCCCCTGAGAGAGTGGGAGAGACCCCGCGTAAGGCTTGCAGACCCATAAACCTAGCCAACACAGGGCAGGTCTGGGACTGGAAGCCAGGCCTTCAGTTTGGGGACCCCTGGGTGCCCTTCTTGCTTACTGGTCACCCTACCAATGCTGACACGCCCCCTGCACCCCTCCCCACCCGGAAAGTCCAGAGACTTTCAGATTTCAGCCCTGGCACTGTCTCCCATTCTCAGAGGAGACAGGGCAGAGCCAGAGGCTGATCAGGCTGTGGGTGGACTTGGGGGAGCCTTCGGGGGAAGTGAGCCCAGAGGTGAGCAGTCACCGTCCCAGGGTCCTGGAGCTGGGATCCAAGCTGCGACCACCCAGCCCAGGGCCCTGCTCATACCCCACACCCTGCTCATCTGGGCAGGAGCCAGATGTCCTGCTGGACATCAGCAGCCACTGGCCTACCCCCAACCACTGAACTTGTGTTTCCCTAATTCTGATCCTCCAGGCTCCAGAGGTGGGTGGAGGTGGGGGGCGGCTGTGATGGGATTTGGGGTGTGGAAAGAGGCTAGGCTAGGAGATTAAGAACCCCGGGCTGATCCTCCCTCCCCCACTCTAGGATGACAGTCATGAGTCTCCTGGTTCTCGTCCTGAGCTGGGGCTCCATGGGCCTGGAGGCAGCCACGGCCGTGGTGAGTGCCAGGGCCGGGCCATTGGGCTCTGGGACTCAGGGGGCCTGGAGACTTCAACTTCTGGATCTCGGGATGGCATGGCTTAGTAGAGAAAGGAATTGGGGGGCACGATCACAGCTCTGAGGTTTAGGGCTTGTTTCCTGGGGCCTGAGTGGGTACAGATTG
This sequence comes from Homo sapiens, assembly GCF_000001405.40. Lineage (NCBI taxonomy): Eukaryota > Metazoa > Chordata > Mammalia > Primates > Hominidae > Homo > Homo sapiens. The sequence continues at coordinate 334,231 of NW_003571060.1, forward strand.
GTGTCCTGGACGTTTGAGCTGTAATGGAGGAGGGGCTGGAAACCTGGATTCCTAGGTCTGAGGGAGGAGGGGCTGGGGGTCTGGACTCCTGGGTGTGAGGGAGGAGAAGCTGGGGGCCTGGACTCCTGAGTCTGAGGGAGAAAGGGCTGGAGAGTCTGAACCCCTGAGTCTGAGGGACGAGGGGCCTGGGGCCTGGACTCCTGAGTCTGAGGGAAGAGGGGCTGGGACCTGGACCCCTGGGTGGGGAGGGGAGCTGGGGAGCCAGGCACTGGGTGCTGTGGGAGTGTGGAATCGGGGCAGTTTTGGGTTTGAGCCCCTTTTCTGCTGCCTCACGCAGGGCCTCAGTGACTTCTGCTCCAATCCAGACCCTTATGTTCTGAACCTGACCCAGGAGGAGACAGGGCTCAGCTCAGGTGATTTCCAAGGGCCCGGTGGGTCCGCCGGGTTGGGCAGTGCAGGCCCTGGCTTCCTCAGGCCTCCTCTGTGCCCGGTCCTGCCCAGGGTGGGGTGGGGGTGCAGCCTGCCAGGCGAGACCCAGCCCTCTGGAAGGGAAGCAGGGCTCCTGGCCACTCCCCAGCTCGGAGCCCTCCTGGAGCCCCGCCACCCGCCAGACCCTCATCCCTTCTGCTCCAGCTGGCAGCGCCTCTCCTGGTGGGCTGGAAAAGAGGGCAGGATAAAGATAATGGTGCCAGGAAGAGAGAGGAGGGTCAGGAGAGGGTGCTCCTGGGCGTCAGGAATGGGGAGTTTGGCCCCCTGGAGAAAACTGGGGAGCACCATTTAGTCAGGGGTTCCCAGGGAGTATAGGGTTGCCCACCAGCGCCTGCTCTGGCTGTGGCAGGAGCAGAAGGGACGCGGGGCTGGCGGGTCTCTGAAGGTAAGGCCATCGGGCTCCAGGGCTGGGCTGAGGCCCCTAACCCTGCTAACCCCCCAGTGCCCGGCCTTCCCCCGGGAGATCCCTGGGGGCCCAGGCTCATGGCCTCCTCCCCTCTCCTCCTCCCACTTCAGACATCCTGAGCTATTATCTCCTCTGCAACCGGGCCGTCTCCAACCCCTTCCAACAGGTTAGGGCTGCGGGCAGGGGAAACGGGTGTTGAGGGAGCCAGAAATCTGGACTCTGAAGGGAGGGGGCGGGGCTGGGGCTGGGGCCTGGACTCCTGGGTTCCGGGGAGGATGCAGGCCAGGGGCCCGAGTGCTGTGTCCGGAGGAGAGGAGAGAGGGCCGGGGGCGTATACTCCTGGGTCCTCCTCCCTCCCTTTCTCTTTCTGCAGAGGCTGACTCTGTCCCAGCGAGCTCTGGCCAACATCCACTCCCAGCTGCTGGGCCTGGAGCGAGAAGCTGTGCCTCAGTTCCCTTCAGCGCAGGTCGGTGGGTGGGCGCTCCCCAGACACGCGGACCCCACGGGGAAGGCGGACGGGGCGGGATGGAGCTGTGGGGCGTAGGCGGGGCTGCAGAGCTAGGCGGGGCCTTGGGTTGTGGGCGGGGACGCAGGGCGGGGCCAGGGCGATGGGCGGGCCTGAAGAGTTCGTGGGAAAACGACCCCTCCTCGCCCCGCAGAAGCCTCTGCTGTCCTTGGAGGAGACTCTGAATGTGACAGAAGGAAATTTCCACCAGTTGGTGGCACTGCTACACTGCCGCAGCCTGCACAAGGTGAAGCCCCTCCCCTCCCAATTTCTTCTCCCACGGGGGGCCTCTGTCTCGACCCACAGAACTACCTCCTCCTTCTCCTTGGACCCCTGCCATTGCGCCTGAGGATATCTCTGTATCCTCTGTTTATATGATTTATCTGTCCTATATCTATTCTCTACCTATTTATAACCTGTCGTCTACCTACCTATCAAGCATTATCCATATTCCTTCCCTCCTCCCTCCCTTTCCCCCCAACTCCCGCACTCCCCGCTGGGTCCCCATCCCACCCTCCCCGTCCCTTCCTGCCACCTTTTCCTTCCTTGTCTTCTCTCCTCTCTCCGTCCTCCTGCCTCTCCCTCCCTCCTAGAGGCTGCCGCTTAGTGAGTTCTGGAGCAAGACTGCCTGGGTTCCAGTCCTACCTCCTGACCAAGGGCAAGTCACCTAACTTCTCTGTACCTCAGTTAGTTCCCTCACTTATAAACCTGGGATTGCAAGAGTGGGCACCTGTCCAGCTCCCCTGCGGCTTGTGCTGTTCATACACTGGACAGGCAGGGGTGGGCAGGGTGCCCAGGAGGAAAGATATCTGGTGTCCTGCAGGCTCCAGTTTGGGCTCTGCCGCAGGCTGCACGGCCATAGGCAGGTGAGCGTGGCTGACTCTGCTTCCCACCCGTACCGTGAGGAAGGACGAGTTTTTTTTGTTTGTTTTTTTTTCACTGGATGGCTGTGAGGATTGAAAAAAAAAATCCCCTTATAAAACAGTAGGAGCTGGCCGGGCGCGGAGGCTCACACCTGTAATCCCAGCACTTTGGGAGGCCCAGGCGGGTGGATCACCTGAGGTCAGGAGTTCAAGACCAGTCTGGCCAACATGGTGATACCCCGTCTCTACTAAAAATAGAAAAAGTTAGCCGGGCATGGTGGTGGGCGCCTATAATCCCAACTACTCGGGAGGCTGAGGCAGGAGAATCGCTTGAATCCACGAGGCAGAGGTTGCAGTGAGCCAAGATTGTGCCACTGCACTCCAGCCTGGGCAACAAGAGCGAAACTCTGTCACAAACAAACAAACAAAACCAGTAAGAGCTGTTCTAAAACACACACCCGAGGATGCCTTTCCCCGGCCAGTCTTCCCATCAAAGACCTCACATGTGCATAGCTTCACCAAGTACCTGACCCTGTTGCATTTCACAGGTGGTAACTCATCGATGCCTCATAACAATGCTATGAAGAAGGAACTATGATTATCCCACCTAACAGGTTAGAAGATGAGGAGCAGAGTTGAGGGACCTTCCCAAGGTCACACGGCCAGCCAGCCCGTGCACACTGAGGAGAGAGGGACCTTCCGGAGGGCCCCGCCCTCTGCCCCCCACAGCCAGGCAGTTGCCCAGTTTTGTCCTTTCTGCTTCTGGAATGTCTTCATCCATCTACTCTCAATGCCCAATGCCCCTGCCGCAGCTGAGGCCTCGTTCTCTCCCCTGCAGAAGGAAGCATGGCCCCCTCCCCATCCATCCCCCCATGGACCCTAGAATAGGGCTGCCAGATTCAGCAAACAGCAAACCACTCTGCTATAAGTACGCCCGGTGCAATGCTGGGGAGATACTTATACTAGAAAATTATGTATTGGGCATCCGATACTCAAATGTAACTGGAAGTCCTGAATTTGATCTGGCAACCCTACCCAAGAGGGATTTGTCTACGCCATCGCATGGATCTGAGCTTTCCCTGGTCTGGCTCAGACAGACCCCTTCTGTGGCTCCCACTGCCTCCCACCCTTCTGGAACTGGCATTCCAAAAAGGGAGTGGGGAGTAAGCACTGAAGCCATGCTCAGAATTGCTGACTATTGAGCTGAGAAAGGCTGGGCCCCCACCCAGCCCAGGGCTGCCCTGATCTTTTGCATAAGGATAAACTGGGGTTCAGGCGCTTTTCTGTGGCCTAGGCAGAAACTGGGCTGGAATACAGGCCCCCAGACTCCTTTGTGGAGGGAGGGAAGGGAAGGAAGAGGACAGATCACTCTACCCTTCCCTACCACTGCACCATGAGACCCTGGGTCTCCATCTCCCCTGTCAGTGTGCCAGGGTCCTCACAGATTAAAATCAAGAATAAGCGGCGGGGCCGGGCACTGTGGCTCATGCCTGTAATCCCAGCACTTTGGGAAACCAAGGTGGGCGGATCACCAGAGGTCAGGAGTTTGAGACCAGCCTGGCCAGCATGGCGAAATCCCATCTCTACTAAAAATACAAAAAAACTAGCCGGGCGTGGTGGCACACCCCTGTATTCCTAGCTACTCAGGAGGCTGAGGCACGAGAATTGCTTGAACCTGGGCAGTGGAGGTTGCAGTGAGCTGAGATCGAGCCACTGCACTCCAGCCGGGGTGACAGAGCGAGAATCCGTCTCAAAAAAAAAAAAAAAAAATAGGAGGGGGCTAGGGATGGGTGCCTCGTGCCTATAAACCCAGCACTTTGGGAGGCCCAGTGGGGCAGATCAGAACTCCTTGAGCTCAGGAGTTCAAGACCAGCCTGGCCAACATGGTGAAACCCCATCTCTATTAAAAAAAAAAAAAATCAACAATAAGGGACATCAGGGATGAGGATGAAGGAGGGAGGGCACTGGAGCCTAAGAGAATCAGCTCCAATATCGCTTCTGCCCCTTCCAGACAGTGTGACTCTGGGCAAGTAGCTTGCCTTCTCTGGGCTGCAACTTCTTTCCACCATTGCAAGAGGCGGCAGCGTGAGAGGGTCAGTGTCTGCCTGGCAGGGCTGTTGTGAGGATGAAGGACAGTGTGCATGTACCAATACTCTCAAAACAGAGCCTCCATTGCCCCGACAGGTCCGTACCCCAACCCTCACTGGCTTAGTAACAGACACCCCACCTCAACCAGGTGCTCCTGCCAGAAACTCAGGCTCTTAGCTCCCACAACCATTCTCAGAACAAGTTCTGTTGGCCCTTCCTCTGAAACCTATATGGACTCCCACCGCTGTTCCTACCACCATTGCTGTGCCCTGGTCCCCGCATCCTAGCCACCATGACCACAGGGGCCTCTTCCCTGTCCCCCCTCGCCTACCCCCGTCTGTCCTCCATGCAGCAGCCAGCCAGCCAGGTGATCCTTTTAAAACACAATCCGATCAAGTTCTTCCTCTGCTTAAAACGCTCAGTGATTCCCCTCAGACATGGATTAAAATCCCTGTTCCTCGCCCTGACCTACAAGGGCCTGGGTGGTCAGTCCTGGATCTGTCTGCCTCTGGCCTCAGCCCCTCCCAGCTTCCTCTGCACAGCCCTCTGCCTGGCTCCTTCCTGGAGGACCCATCCCTGCTAGTGGGGTTACCCGACCTACCCCTGCCCTGCACTGACCCCCGCCCTCCTACCTCGTTGCACACCAGCCTCTGAGATGACCTTCTCGGTCCTGTTTACCGAAGTTTCCTGGTACTGGGGGCAGCGCCTGGGGCAGAGCAGGCTCTGTCAACCCCCACTGAATACATACGCTGTGCAGGTGCTTAGCACTCGGTGAAGGCCGTTTCTGCTGATTTCTTGGGACGACAGTCATCAGAGCCAGCATTTGTTGGCATGTTGAGTGTGTATTGTGTGCGCGGTGTCATCTTGAGCCACTGGTTGGTTTTTCGACGTGCTGTTCCACGTGCTCTAGGCCAGTGATTCTGCCCCCAGGGACACCTGGCTGGGTGAGGAGTTCTGCCCCCAGGGACACCTGGCCGGGTGCCGAGTTGCTGTTGGTTGTCACACTGCAGGAGGGGGTGCTCCTGGCATCTGGTGGGTGGAGCTGAGTGGGGCTGCTCAGCACCCCACAACACACAGGGCAGCGCCGTCACCACAGAGAATGATCTGGCTCAAAATGTCAGCAGGGCCCAGGTTATGAAGCCCTCGCCCCTGGACCAAGGCGGAGCTGGCGGTGGCTGGCCTGTGGGCGCTTGGTGCAGGGGAGGATGCTCTTGCAGGAGGTGCCGCTGCCGGGAGGGAGAAGGGAAACGGAAGTAGCAGTTCTCACGTTCCTGGGTAGATGAAGATGGAGGAGAGGGCCCAGGGCTGGTGGGAGATGCTGGACTGGTTCTAGATGTGGGGTGCTGACTGGGGAGGACCCATGTGAAAGGGAGATAGGGGCCTGCAATGACAAGGGCGGGTGCAGCTCAGGAGAAGCCAAGTCTGGAGGCTGGGCAATTAATTCCTGAGTGCCAGGCCTATCACACCAAAGACCCCACTGTACCCACTGTATTCTCAGAACTGCCCTTTGACAGGGGAAACTGAGGCACAGAGTGGTCAGTTGACGTGTGCAGTACCACAGCCGGGAGGACGGTCAGACTGATGTGCACAGTGTGTGCCGATGGGGGAGGGGGTGGGGACGCATGGCCTGATGACGCCCTCCCCTCAGGACTATGGTGCAGCCCTGCGGGGCCTGTGCGAAGACGCCCTGGAAGGCCTGCTCTTCCTGCTACTCTTCTCCCTGCTGTCTGCAGGAGCGCTGGCCACTGCCCTCTGCAGCCTGCCCCGAGCCTGGGCCCTCTTCCCACCCAGGTCAGGAGCGGGGGAGGGTAGGGTCCTGGGGAGGGAAGAGGAGGGGCAGCACCTGGGGACCACGGTGGCAGTGGGGGTGGGGGGTGCAGCCTCCTGATGGGTCCCCATCCCGCCTCTCTGCCATGCCCCGCATCAAACCCCAGTGACGACTACGATGACACAGACGATGACGACCCTTTCAACCCTCAGGTACTGGATGCCTGGGTCTGAGGGAGGAGGGGCGGGGGGTCCTGAACTCCTGGGTCTGAGGGAGGAGGAGCTGAGGGCCTGGCCGCCTGGGTCTGAGGGAGGAGGGGCTGGGGCCCGGACTCCTGGGTCTGAGGGAGGAGGGGCTGGGGTCCCACAGTACAAAGCCAATTCCCACTCCATTCCCTCCTCTCCCCCGCTACCCCGAATCTCCTAGCAGGAATCCAAGCGCTTTGTGCAGTGGCAGTCGTCTATCTGAGCCCCTCCTCCCGGCTGGACTGGAGCCTGGCTCCCCTCTTCGGTGAGCTTCCAAGGGCCACCCCAGCTCCTGCAGCCGGGCCTCTGCCCCCCTCCCGCCCTCCGAGCTGCTCCAGGCATGGGCTGCGTGCCTCCTGCTGGGTGGATCGCACCGGGCAGGCCCTCCAGCCTGCATCACTGCCCTGTCTCTCCCTCTCTCCGCAGTTCCTTCCCTGGCTGCCGGAGGAGACCCCACTAACCCAGCCTGCCTGGGCTCTGACCACTAACACTCTTGGCCATGGACAGCCTGCACAGGACCGCCTCCCTGCTCTTGGCCACTGTGCTCCCATTTCTGTCCTTGGCCTTGGGAGTAGCTGAGGGGGCAGACTAGGGAGTAGGGCTGGCAGGGGAGGGGGCAGACAGCCTCGCCTCGCACCCTTCATCCCTGGCTGCCGGTCCCATCCTTGGAGGGACTAAGCTGGGGGTGGGGGACATGAGTCCCCCTGCTGCCCCTGCCACATCCCAGTGGGCTCTGACCCCCTGATCTCAACTCGTGGCACTAACTTGGAAAAGGGTTGATTTAAAATAAAAGGGAAGACTATTTTACAAGCAGCTGGGTCCTCCTTATTTCTCCTCTCCCTTGATTCGGCCTCCTGGCCAGGGCTGGGACATCCTCCCTGCTGTCCTCTCTCCCCCGGCCTCCCAGCTGCCAGGAATTTCTGCGCCTGTCCAGGCTCAGCAAGGGGTCCAAAGACATTGTTCTTTAAAAAAAAAAAAAAAAAAATCAAAAAACAAAACGCTTTCTTCTGATTCTAAAAGTAATGCGCGTGTCCTGACACAGGAAGACACAGGCATCTCTGGCACAGAATAGATGGCCTAGAAATAGATCTAACTGTGTGTGTGTGTGTGTGTGTGTGTATATATATATATATACACACATGACAGAAGACAGATTTCAAGTCAGTGTGGAAAGGACGGTTGGTTTAGCAGCAGTAGTGACATATCGGCTCTCCATCTGGCCAAAAACTTCTATAGATAAGATGGGTGGAAGATCTAGATGTATGCAAGTAAAGGCACAGAAGAATTTCTAGAGAAATTAGGAGGGTGGGCATGGTGGTGCATGCCTGTGGTTCCAGCTACTCGGGAGGCTGAGACTCCTTGCTTGAGCCCGTTTCGAGGTAGCAGTGAGCTGTGATCGTGCCACTGCACTCCAGCCTGGGCAACAGAGCAAGACCCTGCCTCTTTTTTTTTTTTTTTTTTTGTTTTTGAGACGGAGTCTCGCTCTGTCACCCAGGTTGGAGTGCAGTGGCGCGATCTCGGCTCACTGCAAGCTCCGCCTCCCAGGTTCATGCCATTCTCCTGCCTCAGCCTCCCAAGTAGCTGGGACTACAGGCGCCCGCCAACACGTCCGGCTAATTTTTTGTATTTTTAGTAGAAACGGGGTTTCACCGTGTTAGCCAAGATGGTCTCGATCTCCTGACCTCGTGATCCGCCCGTCTCGGCCTCCCAAAGTGCTGGGAATACAGGCGTGAGCCACCGCGCCCGGCCAAGACCCTGCCTCTTAAAAAAAAAAAAAAAAAAAGACAAAAAACAGAGAGAGGCTGGCTGCGGTGGCTCATGACTGTAATCCCAGCATTTTGAGAGGCCAAGGTGGGTGGATCCCTTGAGGCCAGGAGTTTGAGAGCAGAGTGGCCAACATGGTGAAACCCCGTCTCTACTTAAAGAAAAAAAAAATTAGCTGGGCATGGTGGCACAGGTCTGTAAGCCCAGCTACTCGGGAGGCTGAGGCAGGAGAATTGCTTGAACCCGGGAGGTGGAGGTTGCACCACTGTACTCCAGCCTGGGAGATCAAGTGAGACTCCATCTCAGAAAAAAACAAAACAAAACAAAACAAACCAGAGAAATTAGGAGAATATTTGTATATTGTCTGCATGTCATGTATCTGGGTAGGGAAAATGGGGAGGGAGGAGTTTAAGCAGGAGATCATAAAACCAGAAAGGAAAAGATAGCTTAGTTGGCAAATTATAGATTGAAAAACATACCGTAAAGTCAAATGGCAAATTGACAGACTGGGGAACAGTGAGTGTGTGCGTGCGTGTGTGTGTGTGTGTGTGTGTGTGTGTGTGTGTGTGTATGTTAACAGTTATGATGCAGAAATGTTATTCTTAAAAGATATAATCTACAAAAGCTTTCATAAACTAAGAAAAAGACAACCCATTTAAAAGTAATCAATTGAGTTGAATACTCAATAAAAATTCCAACATCAGTAAACAGACAAAAAGATTCAAACTCTAATAATTGGGAAATGCAATTTGAAAGAATGAGAAACTACACTTTTTCACTACCTAGACACAATGAAATTAACAAGAGTGGTGATGTCCTGGGCGGGCGAGGACCTAGAGGAACAGGCACTCAAAACACTTCTCCTGAGGCTGTGAGCTGCCACCATCCCTTGAAAAAAAAAAAAAATGCGCTTGTATGTGATCAGATCAAAACTGCATACACCCCATGCCCCAACAATCCTGCTTTTGGGAATTGATTTACAGAAAAAGACACACAGGCTTCTGAAGACTTCTATTTAGAGCTGCCTGTTACAACGATACCACTTTGATCAGCTAAACCCTGAAAACAAACATGCACAAAAAGAGAAGTCCAATAACTGACTGCACAGCAGGGCTCTCTGGAAGAAACCAGCTCTTGGCTGAGTTGAGGATGTGAGGGAAAAGCCTGGCAGAGAGGAGCTATCAGAGCAGGGTGTGGCAGACAGCAGTGGCAGAGTGGACTGAAGGAGAGGGGCCTGCACAGTGAAGGGCCCAGCTTATCATTCAAGGCACCCCAGGCCACCATCCTGGCCCTGCTTTTCATGACCTTCACGGATATGGGAAAGTCACTTGACCCGTTAGACCTCGGTTGCCTCTTTGATCAAACGGGTATCAGAAATCCAAAATTCCAAAATCCACAGATCCAAAGAGCTCCAAAGTCAAGCCATCCCCAAGCTCATTGGGCAGGAAAACCTGACCTGTGTTGGTGGGAGATGACTTACAGACATGACTGACACGCTTGGTGTGAACGTTCACATACTTCCCTGCAGAAAAGTTAACCAGGCTGCTGCACACTGCTGTGCTGAGCACTGAGGGTGCCGTGTGCCCTGTGGAGTAGAGATCATATTGCCTTTGCAACTGAAAAATCCTGAATCTCAACACACACCTGGCTCCGAGGGGATCGAGTTGGTGCTTGGTGACCCACAGTGCCAGATGCTGGTGTACAGCGTGGGGCCTGCTGCTGCTCTGTGCCTGTCAATCATTTCTATTTTGTGTACTGCAAGGAGCGTTCAGAGGAAGCTTTAGATATGTGGGCCTGACGGTGGGAATAAAAATCAACTGCAATTTCAGGGAGGGGTTCTGGGGGCCACATGCGTTCACTCACTTTTTCCTAACCATGTGGGCTGTCTGCCCCAGGCCCGGCCCTGCTGCTATGCTGACTTCTTTCCTCTCAAACACTGCCCTCTAGTGCCCCTGAGCCCATTTCCCAAGCACAGGCATCCGCTGGCTGTTGGGCGGCTGCAAAGTACCTTGAGACTCAGCTGCTTGATCTCCCATGCCAATGAGCCTGGGGGTGATCTCTCAACAAGAAGTTGGCCGGGCACCCTGGCTCACGCCTGTAATCCCAGCACTGTGGGAGGCTGGGGCAGGCGATCACCTGAGGTCAGGAGTTTGAGACCAGCCTGGCCAACACGGTGAAACCCCATCTCTACTAAACACAAAAATTAGCTGGGCATGGTGGCGGGCGCCTGCAATCCCAGCTACTCAGGAGGCTGAGGCAGGAGAATCACCTGAACCCGGGATGCGGAGCTTGCAGTGAGCCGAGATCGCGCCACTGCACTCCAGCCTGGGCGACAGAGCAAGACTCCGTCTCAAAAAAAAAAAAAAAAAAAAAAAAGGCATTTTACCCAAACTTTACAAAAGGAAAATCCAGTGTTATTTTTAGAATGTTACCTATGGGGGCTTCCACTGCGACCAGGATGGAGTCACAGAGACTGGACTTGACCCCCCAAAAATAGAGTAAATACAAGAAAACAACAGTGGTCAAGACTCTACCAAGAAAGTGATCCCTGAGGAACGGGAAACATCAAGGCAAGCCCTAAAATTGCCGCTGGGTCCTGTTGCAAGTTTCTAGACCACGGGACAGGGAGGGAAGACTGAGGCGGAGCTGGGAGGACTCCGTGAGCAGAGGAGACAAAGCAGGGAGTCTGAGCTTTGTTCTTGAGCTTTGTTTTGAGAATGAAGTTATGGGCCGGGTGCGATGGCTCACGCCTGTAATCCCAGCACTTTGGGAGACCGAGGTGGGTAGATCACCTGAACTCAGGTGTTCGAGACCAGCTTTGCCAACATGGTGAAACCCTGTCTCTACTAAATATATACAAATTCGCCGGGTGTAGTGGTGGGTGCCTGTAGTCCCAGCTACTCGGGAGCCTGAGGCAGGGGAATCTCTTGAACCTGGGAGGCGAAGGTTGCAGTGAGCCAAGATCGCGCCATTGCACTCCAGCCTGGGCAGCAGAGCGAGACTCCATCTCAAAAAATAAATAAATAAAAATAAAAATAAATTATCTTGGACTTCCAGCCTCCAGAACTGTGAGAAATAAGTGTTTGTTGTTTTTGAGCCACCAGTCCATGGTCCTCTGTTACTGCAGACTAGAATGCCAGGGAAAGAACCACCTGGAGGGACTGAAGCAAATAGCGCCTGAGTTCTGGGGACTCACACAGGCCTTGACAAGGCGCTGTTCCTGCCAGAAGAACCTCATAACTGAAGGAACACTGGGTAGAACACGGAGAGGGTCTTACATCAGCCGTGGGGAATAAGCAGCCCTAACCTGTTAAACACTGTTCTGGTCCTGCCTGAGGAATCTTAAAAGCAAAACCTGAAAGGATCAAGCTGCTTCCAAGTAAGGTGACTGCATTCTCAAACAAAGCTCAAGAATATTTATAGGCATACAAAAGTAACGAGTGCTCGACAAGGTAATACTGATATTGTCTAGTATCCAACAACAAAGTCACCAAATATGCAAAAAGCAGGAAAATAGGGCACATCATGAGGATAAAAATCATTCAACTGAAACGGACCCAGGAGTTAGAATTAGTAGGTAAGAACATTAGAACAACTATTATACTGTACTCCATACGTTCCAAAAGTTCTTTACAGATACGGAAGATATAAAAAAACTCAAACTGGATATCAACAGATAGAAATTACAATGTCTGAAATAAATAATGTACTGGCTGGAACAGCAGATTTTTGTTTTTTGGGGGAGAGTCTTGCTCTGTTGCCCAGGCTGTAGTGCAGTGGCATGATCTAGGCTCACTGCAACTTCCACCTCCCAGGTTCAAGCAATTCTCATGCCTCAGCCTCCCAAGTAGCTGAGACTACAGGCACCTGCCACCACATCCAGCTAATTTTTGTATTTTTAGTAGAGACGGGCTTTCACCATGTTGGCCAGGCTGGTCTCAAACTCCTGACCTCAAATGATCTGCCAGCCTCGGCCTCCCAAAGTGCTGGGATTACAGGTGCGAGCCACTGCACCCAGCCCTAGAACAGCAGATTAGACATTGCAGGAAAAAAAAAAAAATCTGGAAGACAACATTAGAAACTGTCCAAATGAAACATTTAAAAAAATGATTTTTTTTTTTTTACTTTTTAGACAGGGTCTCACTCTGTCACCTAGGCTGGAGTGCACTGGCGTGATCATGACTCACTGCAGCCTCAACCTCTCCAGCTCAAGCGATCCTCCCACTTTAGCCTCTCGAGTAGCTGGGACTACAGGCGCACACCACCATGTTTGGCTAATCTTTAAAAATTTTCTGTAGAGATGAGGTCTCACCATGTTGCCCAGGGTGGTCTCAAACTCCTGGGCTCAAGTGATCCTACTGCCTTGGCCTCCCAAAGTGCTGGGATTACAGGCATGAGCCACCATGCCCTGCCCCAGAAGGAATGAATATATTTTTTTTTAATGAAAAGAACACTGGTGAGCTGTGGGACATTTTAATATATGTGTAACTGGAGGCCCATAAGGAGAGAGAAAGAAAGGAACAGAGAGAGTGTTTAAAGAAATAATAACCCCAAATTTCCCAAATTTGATACAAACTATAAAACCAAAGACACAAGAAACTCAACACACCCCAAGCAGAAGAAACACAAAGATAAACCAAGATACATCATAATCAAATTTCTTAAGACCAGTAACAAAGAGAAAATCTTGACAACAGCCAGATGAAAAACAAAAAGATTTTATAAACAGAGGAACAAAAATTAGGATGACACCAGATTTCTCACTGGAAACAATGTGAGAAAGCAGTGTAAGAAAATTCTTAAAGTAGCAAAAGAAAAAAGTAGTCAACCTAGAATTCGATACTCACTGAAACTGTTTTTCAAAAGTGGGCCGGGCACGGTGGCTCACACCTGTAATCCCAGCACTTTGGGAGGCAGAGGCGGGCGGATCACAAGGTCAGGAGATCGAGACCATCCTGGCTAACACAGTGAAACCCCGTCTCTACTAAAAATACAAAAAATTAGCCGGGCGTGGTGGTGGACGCCTGTATTCCCAGCTACTCGGGCGGCTGAGGCAGGAGAATGGCGTGAACCCGGGAGGCGGAGCTTGCAGTGAGCCGAGATCGCGCCACTGCACTCCAGACTGGGCGACAGAGCAAGACTCCCTCTCAAAAAAAAAACCAAAAAAACAAAAGTGAAGACAAGGCCAGGCGCAGTGGCTCACACCTGTAATCCCAGCATTTTGGGAGGCTGAGGCAGGCGTATCACCTGAGGTCAGGAGTTCGAGACCAGCCTGGCCAACATGGTGAAACCCCGTCTCTACCAAAAAATACAAAAATTAGCTGGGTGTGGTGGTGGGCACAGAGCAGAGATAGAACAGTATCATAAGGCTGGGCGTGGTGGCTCACACCTGTAATCCCAGCACTTTGGGAGGCCAAGGCAGGCAGATCCCGAGGTCAGGAGTTTGAGACCAGCCTAGCCAATATAGTGAAACCCTGTCTCTACTAAAAATGCAAAAAGGAGCTGGGTGTGGTGGTGCACGCCTGTAATCCCAGCTACTTGGGAGGCTGAGGCAGTAGAACTGCTTGAACCTGGGAGGAGTAGGCTGCAGTGAGTCGAGACTGTGCCACTGCACTCCAGCCTGCATGACAGTGAGACTCCGTCTAAAAAAAAAAAAAAGGTATCATAAAAAATGCTCAAACTTCCAAACTTCTCTCCACAAATGGTGCTAGAACAACTGGACATCAACATGCCAAAAATAAATAAATCAAATCTATACACAGACCTTAGTCTCTTCACAAAAATTAACTCAAAATGGATCATAGAGCTGAATGTTAAATGCAAATCTATAAAACTCCTAGAAGATAACATAGGAGAAAACCTACATGACTGGGTTTTGTGAATTTTTTTTTTTGAGACAAGAGTCTCACTCTGTCGCCCAGGCTGGAGTGCACTGGCAGAATCTTGGCTCACTGCAACCTCTGCCTCCTGGGTTCAAGTGATTCTCATGCCTCAGCCTCCTGAGTAGCTGGAATTACAGGTGTGCGCCACCACGCCCGGCTAATTTTTGTATTTTTAGTAGAGATGGGGTTTTGCCACGTTGGCCAGGCTGGTCTCAAACTCCTGGCCTCAAGTGATCCACTCACCTCGGCTTCCCAAAATACTGGGATGACAGCTGTGAGCCACCACGCCCAGCCGTGATAATTTTTTTGATACAACATCAAAGGCATGATCCATGAAAGAAACTTACAAGCTTGACTTTATTAAAATAATAATAAAAAAACCCCTCTGCTAGGCCAGGCGTGGTGGCTCACGCCTGTAATCCCAGCTCTTTGGGAGGCCGAAGCGGGCGGATCACGAGGTCAGGAGATCGAGACCATCCTGGCTAACACGGTGAAGCCCCATCTCTACTAAAAATACAAAAAATTAGCCAGGTGTGGTGGCAGGTGCCTGTAGTCCCAGCTACTCAGGAGGCTGAGGCAGGAGAATGGCGTGAACCCGGGAGGCGGAGCTTGCAGTGAGCCGAGATCACGCCACTGCACTCCAGACTGGGCGACAGAGCGAGACTCCATCTCAAAAAACAAAACAAAACAAAACCCTCTGCTCTTTGAAAAACATTTTTAATATAATGAGAAAAGCTGCAGCCTGGGAGAAACTATTTGCAAGAGACCTATCTCATGAAGGACTGCTATCCAAGATTTACAAAGGGCTCTTAAAACTCAGTTAACAGGAAAACAATCTGATTAAAAAATAGGAAAAGGGGCCAGGCATGGTGGCTTACACCTGTAATCCCAGCACTTTGGGAGGCCAAGACGGGCAGGAATTTGAGACCAGCCTGGCCAATATGGTGAAACCCTGTACTAAAAATACAAAAATTAGCCAGCATGATGGCACGTGCCTGTAGTCCCAGCTACTCGGGAGGCTGAGGCAGAAGAATTGCTTGAACCCGGGAGGCGGAGGTTGGAGTGAGCCGAGATGGTGCCACTGCACTCCAACCTGGGTGACAGAGTGAGACTCGGTCTCAAAAAAAAAAAAAAAAAAAAAAAAAAAAAAAAAAAAAAAGGATTGTTTCTGGGTGTGTCTGTGAGGGTGTTGCCAGGGAGGCTGACACTTGAGTGAGTGGACGGGGAGAGGGAGACCCACTCTCAGTGTGGGTGGGCACCATCCAGTCAGCGCAGAAGGTGGGAGGGGCTGGCTTGCTGAGTCTTCTGGCTTTCATCTTTCTCCTGTGCTGGATACTTCCTGTCTTTGGAGATTAGACTCCAGGTTCTTTGGCCTTTGGACTCTTGAACTTCCACCAGTGGTTTGTCGGGGACTCTTAGGCCTTCCGCCACAGACTGAAGGCTGCGCCGTTGGCTTCCCTACTTTTGAGGCTTTTGGACTTTGAGACGTGACTGGCTTCTTCCTTCCTCAGCTTGCAGATGGACTATAGTGGGACTTTGCCTGATGATCCTGTCAGCCAGTTCTCCCTAATATACTCCCTTTCAATATATACATATATCCTGTTAGTTCTGGCCCTCTGGAGAACCCTAATACAGATGGCAAATAAACACAGGAAAAGATGTTCACCGTATGTCATTAGGGAACCGTCCATTAAAACAAGACACCACTGGCCGGGCGCGGGGGCTCACACCTGTAATCCCAGCACTTTGGAAGGCCAAGGCAGGTGGATCACGAGGTCAAGAGATCGAGATCATCCTGGCCAACATGGTGAAACCCCGTTTCTACTAAAAATACAAAAATTAGCTGGGCGTGGTGGCGCACGCCTGTAGTCCCAGCTACTCGGGAGGCTGAGGCAGGAGAATCGCTTGAACCCAGGAGGCGGAGGTTGCAGTGAGCCGAGACCATGCCACTGCACTCTAGCCTGGAAGACAGAGTGAGACTCTGTCTCAAAAAAACAAAAAAAAAACAAGACACCACTACATACCTATTAGAATGCCAAATCCAAAATGCTGGCACCACCAAATGCTGGCAGAAATGTGGAGCAACAGAAACCCTTCTTCATTGGTGCTGGCAATGCAGAATGGTACAGCTACTTTGGAGGACAGTGTGGTGGTCTCTCATAATCCTAAACATACTCTTAGAATATGAACCAGCAACACTGCTCCCCAGTATTTACACAGATGGGTTGAAAACTTCTGCCCACAAAGAAATCTGCACGTGCACGTTTATGGCAGCTTTCTTTATCACTGCCAAAAACTTGGAAGGAACCAAGATATCCTTCAATAAATGTCTTACTACATTCTGGTTGTTGTAACAAAATACCATACACTGCGTAGCTGAGGCAGGAGGATCACTTGAGCCTGGGAGGTTGAAGCTGCTGTGGGCTGAGACAGAGATCACATCATTGCACTCCAGCCTGGGTGACAGAATGAGAAACCCTGTCTCAAAAAAAAAAAAAAAGTACAGTTTTGGTTTTTGCTGTGACTGGGCTCCTGGAGTGAGAGCTCTGGATCCCAGCTGCAAGATGAGGAATCTGGAGCCGAGAGAAGGGAAACGAGTTTTCCAAGTCATACGGCTGGTTAAGTAAAAGAGCCGGGATTATGACTTAGGTTTCCTGCCCCCCAAGATTATTATTTTTTGAAACAGAGTTTCGCTCTGTCTCCCAGGCTGGAGTGCAATGGCATGATCTGGGCTCACTGCAACCTCCACCCCCAGGGTTCTAGCGATTCTCCTGCCTCAGCCTCATGAGTAACTGGGATTACAGGCATGCGCCACCATGCCCGGCTAATTTTTCTGTATTTTTAGTAGAGACGGGGTTTCGCCATGTTGGCCAGGCTGGTCTTGAACTCCTGACCTCAGGTGATCCACACGCCTCGGCCTCCCAAAGTGCTAGGATCACACGCATGAGCCACCGCGCCTGGCCTACCCAAGATTATTAAAATAAGTTTTCAGAAGCAACCCCCTACTGGCCAGGCGCAGTGGCTCATGCCTGTAATCCCGGCACTTTGGGAGGCAGAGGCGGGCGGGTCACCTGAGGTCCGGAATTCCAGATACTGTGAAACCCCGTCTTCACTAAAAATACAAAAATTAGCTGGGTGTGGTGGTGCACGCCTGTAAAGAGAATTGCTTGAACCTGGGAGGCAAAGGTTGCAGTGAGCTGAGATCGTGCTACTGCACTCCAGCCTGGGCGACAGAGCCGTCTCAAAAAATAATAATAATAATAGATTTTTTAAGAAAAGCAATCCCCTAGTGACTTCTTAGAGCACATCATCAGACAGTTGGGGTAAAATTCTGAAGTGGATTAAGGGAGGGGTGCTGGTTTGCCTGGATGGCTACATGAACATAGCCCTGGAACCAACCAAATATGTAACTGGACAACAGAAAAATAAGTACAGGGTGCATTAATCAGAGGCAACAATGTTTTGTACTTAAGTACACAGAAGACACGATGTGAAGACACCAAGAGAACAGTACTTTTCATGGTTAGACACATTTCTTAGGTATTTTTTCTACTTTGGGATTCTTTTGTGATATAATTTGTCCTGTTTACATAATTTTTTTCCCTGACATGTAAGATAAATGTATCTAATTGTGGGCTTACTTGTAAAGAGTTTTCACATTTAAGTTCCAGTCATTTCATTTTATCGCTGTGTCTGTGTACAGAATGCTAAAGAATAAGACATAAAAAATAAAAGTACAGTTATAAACACCTCTTTTAAAAGGCAGAGACTGTTCGCTTGGGCAAAAAAAAGCAAGATCCAACTACATGCTATCTACAAGAAACCCACCCTAAATACAACAGGTAAAAGGAAGCTAAATGGAACGTGGGTCCTGGCTTGTACCCTGGCATGTAAAGAAAACATTGGAGGAAAAGGTGGTGAAATCCCAGTAAAGTCTGGGTTTTAGTTACAGTAATGCATCATGTCAGTATCTACAACAAACCACTTTTGTTGGTGCTTGTGATGACAGCATCAGAAGAAACTGAGCATAAAACATGGTGGACTGCGTATGATCTTTGCAACTTTTCTTTTTTTTTTTTTTGAGACAAGAATTTCACTCTTGTTGCCCAGGCTGGAGTGCAATGGTGTAACCTCGGCTCACTGCAACCTTGGCCTCCTGGGTTCAAGCGATTCTCCTGCCTCAGCCTCCCGAGTAGCCGGGATTACAGGTGCACGCGCCACCACGCCCAGCTAATTTCTGTATTTTTAGTAGAGACGGGACTTCACCATGTTGGCCAGGCTGATCTTGAACTCCTGACCCCAGGTGATCCACCCATCTCGGCCTCCCAAAGTGTTGGGATTACAGGCGTGAGCCAGCGCGCCCGGTCTTTGCAACGTTTTGAATAAATCCAAAATTATTCCAGAACAAAAAGCTTAGTACCAAAAAGAAAACAAAAACAAAAACAAAACAAACCCCCCCCCCCCACAGAGTAAAATAACGGAAAAAGATCTACTATGCTAGCACTAACAAAATAATACGTAGTTATGAAAATGGTATGTATTTTTCAAGCTAGACGTTCATAATGGTAGAACATGAGGAGGAAAACTGCCTCTTAAATCCCACCACTTACTGTGACGCAGTGACCGGTCCCTGCAGCGGACTGGATAGTTGTATCAGAGTCCTGGACGGAAACAGATGGCACTCAAAAGGTGGCGCGCAGTTCAGAGAAATGCCTATGTACGGATTTGGTCCAATGCCTCAGCCTGACCTCAGGGACCTTCGGGGGTCTGCTCCGCGCCCACCCTTACACATCTGTGACCCCACACACTTCCACCCCAGCGCCACTGCCAACAGCTACACCCATCCCCCTCCAACCGCGTCAGCTTCCAGCCTCGGTCCATCTGAACTCGCCGTGCCCCCTCCCCTGCGCCCTTCCAGATTCATTTGCTAGGGAAGCCCGCTCTTCCGGGTGGAGCTGTTCCTCATCCCCTTTCTTTATCATTCTCTCCCCAGGGCTTCCACATCACCGTGCTGTGGACAATCCCGGAACTCCTGTCACGCCAGTTTACATTTAGGAACAGTAATGGCTCCCACTGACTCAGTCAAAACAAGGCTGCGGCCGGGCACGGTGGCTCACGCCCGTAATCCCAGCACTTTGGGAAGCCGAGACGGAGGGATCACGAGGTCAGGAGTTCGAGAACAGCCTGGCCGACATGGTGAAACCCCGTCTTTACTAAAAACACAAAAATTAGCCGGGCATAGTGGCGCGCGCCTGTAATCCCAGCTACTCCGGAGGCTGAGGCAGAATTGTTTGAACCCAGGAGGCGGAGGTTGCAGTGAGCAGAGATCACGCCACTGTACTCTATCGTGGGCGACGACAGAGCAAGAGCAAGACTCCGTCTCCGAGAACAACAACAACAGCAACAAGAAAACAACAATAAAAAAAATAAGGCTGCGTGGGAGGCAGAAAGAGCTAATGCGGCCACGCTTGTCCCCTCGGGGCCACCGTCCCCACCCAGACTTCCGGTCTGCCTTAAAATGTTCATGCGTAAGTGCGTGGGCAGGAAGGCGGGCTCAAGCGCAGCTCGTGGCGTTCATTGGCTGTGCAGGGCCGAGGGAGGCGGTGCAAGGCCGCCGCGTGACGTCAGGACGCCGCGGTCAGGACGTCGAAGCCAAAGAAGACCAGAGCCAGCCGGGTGGCACAGCGGTGTCGTGGCCGTGTTGCTGATCGCCTGGGTGGTTGTTGGCGTGTCCCTGCAGCGAAGGATCCTGGTTGGTAAGGGGAGCGGCGGGCGAGCAGGCGGGCGGGGATAGCATCTCCTTTTGGTCTTGCGCCCCGCGAGCCCCGAGGCCTTCTCGGCCGTCGCAGCAGCAGACGCCGCGCGCGAGCGTCGACAGGGTGTGGCGGCGCAGGGGCAGCCACTGCGCCTGCGCACCGGGCCTGGGGCCGCGCGTTCGGGCACTAGCGCGCGTGCGCCGTCGTCTTCTACTTTCCGTTCCTCTCCCTTGGAGTTCTCGGGGCCCCGGGGCGCCCCTCACTCGCCGTTGACCGGGTGTTGCCCCGGGCGACGGGCGGCTCCTGCGCGTCTTTCTGGGGCGTGGTGCGCAGGCGCGGCCTGGGCAGTGGCTCCGTGGCTAGTCGTGGGGATCCGAGCGGCCTCCTCCACCCGGCGTCCTCCTTTGCCTTCGCCCAGCCTGCGGGACGGCCAGGTGCTCCCGGGACCTCAGGCCTCGCGTCTGATGCCTGTCTCTGTTCTTGAGACCCGTCTGGGAGTCCTCTGTCCAGCCCCCAACTCCTGACCTTACCTCTAATCTCCCTTCTGCCCTGGGGCTCCTCTTCCTGTGTCCCCGCCACGATCCCTCGTCTCCACCCACGCCCTGTGTCCTGTTTAAGTTAAGCCTTTGCGTTTCTAGGGCTTTTCCCCAGCTCCAGACTCCCGTTCCTATCCCGTCAACTCGTGAGAATTCCGGTTCTCCTGCGGGATTAATTATCCTACTTATCAGTTACTCTCTCTCGGGAGTTTAGGCTCCTGAATCCTTGCTCCGGAGACACTCCACTTTTCTTCCAATTCTCTCTGTACCCCACTCTTAATTCGTTGAACATGTTTTGGGTCTTCTTTGGCATTCCCAAAGCTTTATGTCCAGACACCCAACCAAGGTGATCCCTTTTCTCTCCCAGCCCTACCCCTGCTTCCGGGAACCTCCCGTGGAAGCAGGCAGGGGTAGTCCCACTGAGGACTCCCACGTAGGTCTCTTTACTGCCCTTCGGAGACCTTTTTGAAATCAGTCTGTCAGTGCTAAGAACCCATTTCTTCACGTTGGGGTTCACGTTGGCATTCTCAGGAGCGCTCAACGACCACTTGCTTCCAGGGTTAACTTCCGGAAAATCCCCTTTTCCTCTCAAAATTTTCTTCTCTTCTCCAATATTCTTCCAGCCCCCTCGATGCTCCCTGAAAGGCCTCCCTTTTCACAGAGTTCTCGGAAACCTTTCCACCCTCTCAGCCTTAAGGGTTCCCTCAGACTCTTCTCATTATAGCATCCATCCTCTTGGTTCAGGTTCCTTTCACAACCCGTACTCCTTAGCTTTTTTTTTTTTTTTTTTTTGAGACAGAGTTTCGCTCTTGTTGCCCAGGCTGGAGAGCAATGGCGCAGTCTCAGCTTACCGCCCTCCACCTCCCGTGTTCAAGCGATTCTCCTGCCTCGGCCTCCCTAGTAGCTGGGATTACAGGCATATGCCACCATGCCCAGCTAATTTGGTATTTTTAGTAGAGACGTGGTTACTCCATGTTGGTTAGGCTGGTCTCGAACTCCCGACCTCAGGTGACCTGCCCGCCTTGGCCTCTCAAAGTGCTGGGATTACAGGCGTGAGCCACCGCGCCTGGCCCCTAGAATTTTTTGTAGACCTTTTCCCCTTGATGGAGGCACCCCTACCCTCTGGACCTTTCATCACAGCCTCTCTTTGCTCACATGGGTTTCAGACCCTTCTCCTTTCCTTTGGGAAGTCTGCTCTGGCTTCCCTGTTTCCAAATCCTTCGTTTTCCACCTGGAGCTCTACAAAGGGGCCAGGGGCTTCCCCTCACTCCAGCCTTTCTAGTCCACACCCAGAACTCTTCAGATCCTTGACCCCAGTGGCTTTTCAGTCAGCCTCCCCTTTTCTGCCCAGCTTCTCTTGAGTCCATCTACTTTTCTTCCCCACTTTGTGACGTGTTTTTAGCTCCCCCTTAAGTCTCCCTAACTCATTCTTTTTCTCATAGGCAGTGAAAAAGCAGTCTGGCTCCCGAGGTCCACCCCTTATACCCCAAGGTCCAGATGGCGGCCAACGTGGGTGATCAACGTAGCACAGATTGGTTAGTGAGGCGAGAGGGACGGAGGCCAGTCGGGAGGGAAAGAGGAAGCAAGACCCAGTGCTGTCCTCTGGGGTGGGACCTCCCGTGGCCTTAGGGGAGGTGATGCCACAATCCCTGTGGGTGGGGGTGGTGGTAAGGCAAACACAGAGGGAAGCATTTGGTTGTGGTGTGGAGAGGGGCAAGCTTTCACCTCTCTGAGCTTTCGTTTTTCACAGTACAGCGCTTGCTTTGCAGAATTGTGATGATTCATTCAAGCAAGTGTAATTAGGAGGCAGCTTCCCAACACTCAATACACAGTCATTTATTTGTTTTTCTGCTGATTCCTTATTTTTTCTCAAAATAGTGTGATAACCTGCCGACTGGGGTGATGTCAGACAGAATTCATTGATTCATGAAAGACATAGCCCTAGGAGGTGCCAGGGCCTGTGTTCAGTTCTGTGGGTTCTGTTAATTGTTTTGTTTGTTTGGTTTTAACAACTGCTGTGTGCCAGGCTCTGGGATAAGTACCTTAAGTAGGTGATCTCATTTATCCCTCCCAGCAGACTCTGAAGCAGAAACCCTTTATCAGCATAGTACAGATTAGAAAACTTAGGCTTAGACTGGTAGTAACAGTTAGATATGGGATCCAGGGGCTGGAATTTGCCTCCCAACTTGCCCACCTGTGTACAGTGGGGAGAACAGGTGTGACTTGATGTCCTCTCTCTCTGCAGGTCTTCTCAGTACAGCATGGTGGCTGGGGCAGGCCGAGAGAATGGCATGGAGACGCCGATGCACGAGAACCCGGAGTGGGAGAAGGCCCGTCAGGCCCTGGCCAGCATCAGCAAGTCAGGAGCTGCCGGCGGCTCTGCCAAGTCCAGCAGCAATGGGCCTGTGGCCAGTGCACAGGTGAGAAGGCCTCATGGGGCTGGGGTACCCTGAGCCAGAGGTTGTGGGAGGGACACAGTCTGGCGTCCTGTTGTATCATTCAGACGGGGTGCTCTGAGGGGAAACATAAAAAGACGTTCCAGGGTATCTAAATCTGAACGGGAAAAAGTTCTGTTTCCTTGAGGAAATTAGGGCGTGATGTGGTTCTGAAGAGGGAGGCCATGCCCATGCCCCTGGTCTCTAACGTGCGTGAGTCTCATGGTAGAGACAGTGGCTCACTTTGCAGATACATGGACCCAGTTTCATCCCTTGGCAATTGGCCACCAGTAAACAGGCTTGCCCTTTGGGGGCCGTGTGCCTGTGGATTTGGGCTGCTGACGGCACATGTGCCTCTCTGCTTCCACAGTACGTGTCCCAGGCAGAAGCCTCAGCTTTGCAGCAGCAGCAGTACTACCAGTGGTACCAGCAGTACAACTATGCCTACCCCTACAGCTACTACTATCCCATGGTGAGTGCCCAGCCAGTGGGGCGGGGCAGGGCGAGGTGGAGTCTGCTGGGTCGGGGCGAGGTGAAGTGGAGTCTGCCGGGATGGGGCCGGGTGGTGGATGGACTGGAGATCGCAGTGATAACTGCTCAGAAACCCTCTAACTTGCCCAGGAGGTAAATTCCTAGGTCCCCGCCATGAGCCACAAGGTCCTACATACCCGGTTCTGGTCCCTTCTCTCCTCATGCTCATTCTGCCATGGCCATCGAAGCAGAGACCTCCTTGATGCCCGCACCCGCCAGGCCCGCTCTCGCTTTGCCCTGGCTGCAGTGCTCCCTGTGTTGCCGCCTCTTGGAGGTCTCTGCTCAGATGCCGCCTTCAGAGAGCCTCTACCTGACACACTGATTGAAAGTAGCATTCCTGCCTCGCAGCCTGTCCCTCTCCCTTTCTTTGCCATCTTATTGTTTCATGATCCTTATTGCTGGATGTATTACATGTTGATGTCTCCAGCCGGACATGTAATTCCAGCACAAGCTTCATTACAGCATGGGTTTTCCTTTTGTTCTGTCGTAGTGCTTAGAAGAGTTGGCACTCAGTATCGTTGATTATATTCTTCCGAGAACTAGCTAAGTGAGATGTGGGATTGATAGAGGTTTTTCTTTTCCTAATATATGAGAGGATGTGGTGCATTAATATAGTGGAGAGAGAAAGGGGTGAGGGATTGGTAGAGGGTCATGGCTGGTGTAGTTCCTGAGCAGGCTGGGGAAGCGGAAAGGGTAGGCCTCCCACTAAACCCTCCCTCCCTGCGCCTTTGCAGAGCATGTACCAGAGCTATGGCTCCCCTTCCCAGTATGGGATGGCCGGCTCCTATGGCTCAGCCACACCCCAGCAGCCATCCGCACCCCAACACCAAGGGACTCTGAACCAGGTAACATCCTAGCCCAGCTCCCATACCCTGCTCAAGCAGAGGAAGTGTAGATTTTTGAATGAGCTGTCAATGAGGAATGGCTTGTACTCCTTAAGCTGCTTTTTTCCTTCCAAGCAACTCCTGATCTGAAAATGAGGAGGACAGAGCATAGTGTTTGAACCTGGGGTGGGTTTAAGGCTGAGCCAAGGCCAGGGCTGAGATGTTGAAAGACATCTCATCTTTTTCCCTAGCATGGTCACCCACAGGCGTGCACACACCGGCTGGGTTTTGCATTGAATGTGCAGCTTGGAGGAATGGCCGGGCTAGTGCACAGGAGGCAGGTAGACCTGGGTTTGAATCCCAGCTGTCCCACCCCTGGTGTAATTACGCATCTCGGTCAGCTCTCGAAAGCGGGAAGGATGGTAGCCTCATCCTTGGGCTCCATGAGTGTGTGTGCTCATGGGTGTCTTGTGCTCAGATGGTAGCGCTGGAGTGGGTGTGTTGTCGGTGGCTGTTACTCCAGCATTGAAACGCTGCCAGCTGCCGCTTCATAGCTTAGGGCCCTGGGAAGTCGCTTAGTCTCTGAGCTGGAGCCTTGTCAGCTGTGAAAAGGGCTGTTAACAAATGTTAACCTCACAGAGTTACTGAGGACTCGAATGAACTCACATTTGGGAAGGTCACGGGAGGGTTGAGTGCTGAGTGCTGTGACCACCGCGTCCTCACAGCGAGGGCTGAGTGCCACTCGCCAGCCCCAGAATCTGCCTCCCGTGCTCAGCGCCTGCTTCCTTCTGCAGCCCCCAGTCCCCGGCATGGATGAGAGCATGTCCTACCAGGCTCCCCCTCAGCAGCTGCCGTCGGCTCAGCCCCCTCAGCCCTCAAATCCCCCACATGGGGCTCACACGCTGAACAGTGGCCCTCAGCCTGGGACAGCTCCAGCCACACAGCACAGCCAGGCGGGGCCCGCCACGGGCCAGGCCTATGGGCCACACACCTACACCGAACCTGCCAAGCCCAAGAAGGGCCAACAGCTGTGGAACCGCATGAAGCGTAAGTTGGCAGAGCTACGTGGAGGTCGGAGCGGTTGGGCCCTCACAAGAGCTCCTGGGTGTGAGGCCCGTGGTGTGTGCTGCTCCTTGTTTCTGGGTGTTGTGATCGCCAGGCTGGGGGTGGGGCTGCTCTGGACCAGGCACATGTGTGCTGGAGCCCTCCTCTAGAACCTGAGCGCTCCTCCCTGCATTTCCACTTCCTCCCGTCCCCTGGGGACCCCTGGATGTGCCGGGGAAGGGCCTAACCATAGCTTTCGCTGCCCTCACAGCCGCCCCTGGGACTGGAGGTCTCAAGTTCAACATCCAGAAGCGACCCTTTGCTGTTACCACCCAGAGCTTTGGCTCCAACGCAGAGGGCCAGCACAGTGGTTTTGGCCCCCAGCCCAACCCTGAGAAAGTTCAGAACCACAGGTGACGTCTGCCCCCTTGCCCCGTCGCAGCCCCACACTCTGCACTCAGCGTCTATGGTCCAGTCCCACTGGCCAGCTGCCCACCCTGAGCCTCAGTGTGCGCCTCTGAAAAGGGCAGAAGGACCCTCTCTTGGGGGTTGCTGTGAGCACTGAAGGAGACAGAAGGAAAACTTGGGGACTGCGTCCCGCTGTGTCAGCTCAGAGTGGCGGTGGGGATGGTCTTTTGAGTTTGGGATCGTCTCCAGCTGAGCCCCTCATCTGTCCTCCCGCAGCGGGTCCTCTGCCCGGGGGAACCTGTCTGGGAAGCCCGATGACTGGCCCCAGGACATGAAAGAGTATGTGGAGCGCTGCTTCACCGCCTGTGAGTCGGAGGAGGACAAGGACCGCACGGAAAAGCTGCTCAAGGAGGTGCTGCAGGCGCGGCTGCAGGACGGCTCGGCCTATACCATTGACTGGAGCCGGGAGCCCTTGCCGGGGTTAGTCTGGGTGGGGGACATAGGTGGGAGGGTGGTGCTGTGAGAGGCATGGGCTGGGTATGGAGGTAGGAGAGTTGCGGGTCCCAGGTACCAGGAGCTCCAAAGAGAAATGAACCGGAAAGTTGGATCCTGGGGGGATGAAGTCCTGGTTGGAGGGAGGCCGGTGGGGTGGGGTGGGGACCATGGGTGCTGGAGAGGCGTGCATTGCTCAGTGGTTAAGCGCACCCTCTGGAGACGGAAAACCTGGGTTCGCGTCTCATTTCTGCACTGTAGTAGCTGAGCCGCCTGGGGTAAGTGCCTTTCCTTTCGGAGGCGGGTCGGTACCTTGAGGGAGGTGGTGGCGGCTGTCCTGCCAGTGTCTGGCGGGGTTGGTGACGCCCTGCCCTGCTGTATTCTCAGGCTGACCCGGGAGCCTGTGGCTGAGAGCCCTAAGAAGAAGCGGTGGGAGGCCGCTAGCAGCCTTCACCCTCCTAGAGGGGCAGGCTCGGCGACAAGGGGCGGGGGTGCCCCGTCCCAGCGAGGGACGCCCGGGGCTGGGGGTGCCGGTCGAGCCCGGGGCAACAGCTTCACCAAGTTTGGCAACCGCAACGTCTTCATGAAGGACAACAGCTCTTCTTCCAGCACAGACTCCCGCTCCCGCTCCTCCTCCAGGTCCCCGACGCGCCACTTCCGCAGAAGGTACTGAGGCTCCCGGCTGGGGCTGTGTGTGAGGGAGGGGGAGGCGTTTCAGGCCTGACCCTCCTGCTTCTTCCTGCAGTGACTCCCACTCAGACTCCGACAGCTCCTACTCAGGGAATGAGTGTCACCCTGTGGGCCGCAGGAACCCGCCCCCTAAGGGCCGGGGCGGTCGAGGGGCCCATATGGATCGGGGCCGAGGCAGGGCGCAGCGTGGGAAGAGGTGAGACTGTGTGAGGGCTCGACACACGGGCCAGGGTGGAGGAGGGTACTGGGGACCCATGGGAGAAGGAGGAGGAGGGCCGGACAGGTGGACAGCCAGCTGCCAAAGGGGCGAGGCTGAAGGGGGGCTGGAGACGCCTGTCGCGCTCACTGCCCCTCATCCCTTCCTAGGCACGATCTGGCGCCCACCAAGCGCAGTCGAAAGAAGATGGCGGCGCTGGAGTGTGAGGACCCGGAGCGAGAGCTGAAGAAGCAGAAGCGGGCAGCCCGCTTCCAGCACGGACACTCCCGCCGCCTGCGCCTCGAGCCCCTGGTGCTGCAGATGAGCAGCCTGGAGAGCAGTGGGGCTGACCCTGACTGGCAGGAGCTGCAGATCGTGGGCACCTGCCCTGACATCACCAAGCACTACCTGCGCCTCACCTGTGCCCCCGACCCGTCCACCGTGCGCCCTGTGGCAGTAAGTGCCCAGCAGGGCAGTTCTGCTCTGTGAGGCCGTGCTGGCTCAGGACTTGGGGAGCCAACCCAGGGAGGGTGGCAGAGGCCACACGGGGGCTCTGGTATGGCAGGGGAAGCTCGGCCAGAGACGCCTCGGCTGGTCGGCGTTCTGAGAGGAGCGCAAAGGCGCTCTGCTGCCCTGGAGCCCCGCGTGGCGGGTGTGCAGCTTGGCCGGCGAATCGCTTGACCTCTGGGCCGTGGTTCCTGGCTTAGGTGACACGGAGCATAAAGCCTTCTCCCAGGCCCGTGGGCTGTGGGGCGTGGGGGGCTGTGCTTCCAGTGTTTGGCGTAGTCACTGTTCTGCTGCAGAACCTGTGAACAGCCATGTGCTTATAGGGAAATGGGTGTGGAGGTGGCCACTCTTAACCCATGTCTTGTGGGTTTGTTTTCTCTTTTTTTGGGAGAGAGTCTGGCTCTGTCGCCCAAGCTGGAGTGCAATGGCGTGATCTTGGCTCACCGCAGCCTCCGCTCCCCGGCTTCAAGCGATTCTCCTGCCTCAGCCTCCCTAGTGGCTGGGATTACAGGCGTCTGCCACTACGCCTGGCTGATTTTTGTATTTTTAGTAGAGACGGGGTTTCACCATGTTGGCCAGGTTGGTCTCAAACTCCTGACCTCAGATGATCCACACACCTCGGCCTCCCAAAGTGCTGGGATTACAGGCGTGAGCCACTGCGCCTGGCCTTTTTTTTCTTTTTTTAATGTTGCAACTCTCCCACCAAATAAGTGGAAGCCGTTGGCCACGCTACCTGAGTTGTACTCCGAGTGTGAATTCAGTTCCCTTTTTCAGGTTTTGAAAAAGTCGCTGTGCATGGTCAAGTGCCACTGGAAAGAGAAGCAGGACTACGCGTTTGCCTGCGAGCAGATGAAGTCGATCCGGCAGGATCTGACGGTGAGACTCGCGCTGGGAGGGGCCTGGCCTCAGCCAGTCCTGCCTCCCGCTCCTTGTGACTCTTGTTCTCGCCCCGCTGCCCCAGGTGCAGGGCATCCGCACCGAGTTCACGGTGGAGGTGTACGAGACCCATGCCCGGATCGCCTTGGAGAAGGTGAGCTGGCCTCTGCGGGCCTCCCCAGCCCCTTTCCTGCTGCCGTTCTGCCCTCAGCACCCTCACTCTGCTCTCCTCCCTCGGTGCCTCTGCCTTCCAGGGTGACCATGAAGAGTTTAACCAGTGCCAGACGCAGCTCAAGTCGCTGTACGCCGAGAACTTGCCTGGCAATGTGGGCGAGTTTACTGCCTACCGAATCCTCTACTACATCTTCACCAAGAACTCGGGAGGTGAGGCCCAGTCCCCAGGACAGAGGCCATGGTACCCAGGGTTGAGCCCTGCTGACTTCACCCTCTTTGTCTTGGTGCTAGACATCACCACGGAGCTGGCATACCTCACACGAGAACTGAAGGCAGATCCTTGCGTGGCCCACGCCTTGGCATTAAGGACAGCCTGGGCCCTGGGCAACTACCACCGCTTTTTCCGGCTCTACTGCCATGCACCCTGCATGTCTGGCTACCTCGTGGACAAGTTTGCAGATCGGGAGCGCAAGGTCGCCCTCAAGGCCATGATCAAAACGTATGTGGTGCCAAGCTCCCTTCTGCCTTTGCTCTTCCCATCCTTCCGCCTCGCACCGCCCCTCAGACCAGCTCCTGGCCGCAGGCCTCCCCCAGCCCCCAACCCTTGTCCTGGTCCTTGCTTCCCCATCATCTTTCTCCATTCAGCCCTCCCCTCTCCAGTTCCTCTTGCTCTCCTTGTTGGTCACCTCTGTGTTCCGGGTCACTCCTCTCCCTCTCCCCACTGTTCCCAGCTCACTGCCTCTGGGGCCTCTTCTCCACCCCATCTGTGTGTCTCTTCCTCCTGTTCTCTCCTGCCTGGACCCCCTAGTTCACTCCTTGCCCTGGGCTTCCTCAGAACCCTGAGGTCTCTGCTTTCTCAGCTTGTCGCTGTGCTCCCACCATAGAGACCATCTAGACAGCCTCTGGTCTACCAGGACAAGGCCCAGTCCCACTCAGCTCCTTTGAGAGCACCAGAAACGCTTAGGGAGACACCTGTGTTGAGGCCACACTGGGCGCGGTGCCAGAGGCCCCTGGTCAGGCCATGCCCCTGCAGTGTCCTTCGTTCACTAGACATTGCGCCTGGCTTGCTGTGGGTGGGGATGAGTTGCTTGACTCATGTTTAGACGCATGGTTCTGTCTGGTGATTGAGGTGCCCAGGCGACGCTGGGCAATGTCAAGAGAGGTTTTGGCTTGTCACAGCAAGGGGATGCTCTTGGCATCTAGTGAGTGGAGGCCAGGGATGCTGCCCTGCCACTGCCATTGGGCCTCAGAGCTCAGTCTTGCCAAGGTGGAGAAATTCTGGTCGAAGAGGTTGACCGGTAGACTGAAGAGGCCTTGAGAGCCTGGCCAGGTGGCTGTCCACGTGAGGTCATAGTCACAGCATGGAGGCCTTGAGAGCCTGGCCAGGTGGCCCTCCACGTGAGGTCATGGTCACAGCATGGGGGCCTTGAGTGCCTGGCCAGGTGGCCCTCCACGTGAGGTCATGGTCACAGCATGGAGGCCTTGAGAGCCTGGCCAGGTGGCCCTCCATGTGAGGTTGTGGTCACAGCATGGGGGCCTTGAGAGCCTGGCCAGGTGGCCCTCCACGTGAGGTCATGGTCACAGCATGGAGGCCTTGAGAGCCTGGCCAGGTGGCCCTCCGTGTGAGGTCATGGTCACAGCATAGTTTGGAGCTAGGGAGGGACTGTCAGCCTGGAGGTTTGGAGACTCATTCTGGAATCTAGTGTGGGTCAAGCCAACTTCAGGGAGAGGCTGAGCCAGGGTAGGAGTCACAGGAGCAGACGAGGATGTGGGGTGCCGTGCACAGAGCTCCATGACCAGCTTGGGAAGTTAGAAGGAAGGGGAGGCAGGAGGCTGCTTAGTCTGCTGCCATGATGGGCCCCATGAATGGTGGCTCTCAAGCTTCTGTGCTACACAGGGGTGTGTGGTTGGGCGAGTGTCCTTGTTAATTGATACCTAATTGGCCTTGGTTGGGAACATAGCCATGAGTGCCCCTCGTGGGTGGGGCGCCAGTCTGTCATTGACCTCATTGTGTCAGCACCTTCCCCTCAAGGAGGCTGACCCTGCCCTGCCAGCTGAGACTGGGAGACGGAGTGGGCTCTGATCCCAGGGCTTCCAGGAAAGCTCTGGCTTTGGAGCAGAAGCGGGTTCTAGGACTTAGTGCCCCTCACTCGGTGCCTGGGTTCCTGTGTGTGTGGAAAGGGTAGGGCTGCACCCTGTGGAAGAGGGTTCAGGGAGCTCTGAGGACCTGGCTCGTGCTAGATGCTCAGTCAGTAGTGTGTTTTAGCAGCAGCCGGAAGTGACTGCTTTCAGTGTGTAGTGGTGAGTGCTAGCTGGCACCCCTGCGCCTGGCTTCCCAGACACTGTAACGCAGGGCAGGGGAGGCAGCGAGGGCTGGGTCCCCACGGTGGCCCTGGCAGCCCCGCCATCCCCATCCCCTGCCACGTGCTGCTCCCTCCATCTGGTCCCTGCCCCTCAGCCAGCGGAGGAGCCCGCTGGGCCCTTCCCTGCCCGTCCCCGCTCCTCCCTGGCCCCCGCACAGGTAAGTGAGGGTGAGGGGGGCACAGGGGACTGGGGTCACTAACCCCCCCCCGGGCCCCCCCCGAGCCCCTGAGGTGGGGAGGCTGGGAGGCGGGTGGGGAGCCAGCAGGCACTGTGCTGAGGAAATCCTGTGGGCACCCGAATGGGGGGGCCTCCCCGCTCGTGGGGCCCTCCCCTGCCCTCCCGCCCGCCCGCCTCATCACCTTCTCCTCTTGTCTCCATAGCTTCCGCCCTGCGCTGCCAGTCTCCTACCTGCAGGCCGAGCTGGCCTTCGAGGGCGAGGCCGCCTGCCGGGCCTTCCTAGAGCCCCTGGGCCTGGCCTACACGGGCCCGGACAACTCCAGCATCGACTGCCGCCTCAGCCTGGCGCAGCTGTCAGCCTTCTGAGCACCCAGCGAGGAGGGGCGGGGGCAGGGGCTGCAGCCCCCAGCGCTGCCTTTGCGGATTCTGTTTTTGAGCCGTGGACTTGGGTTGTAAATTTATTTGTGGGGAGTGCGCTCCAGGAAGAGCCACCATCCCTGCCCCCGTTTTCCCACCGGGGAGTCTGTACAGAGATTTTTCTACGTTTTTATTTTTTGCCTCAGAGGGATGGGATTGGGGAGGAGGGGATGGGCAGCGGAGGGTTGGGGGCATGGTCTGCAGGCTCATCTGTGTCCGCCTTTCACTCCACTAATGCTGTCTCAGTGTTTTCTCTCTCTCTCTTTCGAGCTTGCACTCCGGTACCCGACCCGGCGCCCTGGCCCATCCCATGCCGGGGGGCCAGTGGAAAGAAGACAGGCCGTCCAGCCCGTGCCCGCCTGCGGCGGGGGCACCCAGCAAGCCCGCCCACCGCCCGCTGCCTCACCTGCTTCGCCACAGACTCTTGTTCCCAGCCCCTTGGGGCCTCCGTGTTTGGGGTGGGGGAGCTGCTTAGAGACTGTGCCCGTCCTCGGCCCCCCACCCTGAAGTGCCAGCACCACCAGCACCAGATCCTCCGCCGCCACACCGCACTGAGGACACGCCGGCCGGGCCGCCTCGTCTCAAGTTGTATAAAGTTGTCTCCGTGTCCCCTCCTCCCTCTGCCCCCAGTGTTTCTTCTGATTTTTTTTTCCCCTTTCCCTCCCTCCCTCTCCGCATTCTTCCCTTGGTTCAGCACAGGTAAAACGGTTCCCCTCCCTCCCTGCCTTCATGGATCACCAGCTCACGTCATGTTGCCTTCTCTTTTCTTTGTGTGTGTGTTTATTTAAGTTATTTTTCTTCCTCCTCTCCCTTTTCTTTTTGGCCCTCCCTCCCTCCCTCTTCTGCCATGTAACTGGAGGATGTGCTATGAGTTTGCAAACAGCTGGACTGTCAGGCTGCTTTTTTTCCAGATGTTCCTCCTCTGCCTCCCCTTCCCCTCCTCTCCCCTCCTTTTCCTTCCTTCCTTCCTTTCCTTGGAGCACTGAGCACCATTTGGAAGCTTGAGAGAAACCAAAATTAAAGAGAGAAAGAGAGAGCGTGCACGCTCCTGCTTTGTCTTTCCTGTGTGGGCTGTTTGCATCCATTGTCTCCTCCAGAGGTCTGGGGGTGTCACTCCAGGCGGATCTCAGCCAGGGGCTGGAAAGGCCCCCCTGTCCTCCCTATACGGCACAGCCAGAGTGTCTGCAGGGGCTGGCACCCCACTTCCTGGCTGAGGGTGAACTCCAGCTTGGGGAGGTGGACCTGGGAACCATGGGGCACCTTGGCCACGGTGAGGTGGGGGTGCAGCTGCCCTGGAGACTGTAGTGTACTCAGCCCCTCGGCTTCCAGCCTCTGGCTCAGCACTTGTGCCATGCTTTCCAGTGTGGGAGAGGGTGGGGCACACAGCACATGCGGGCCCAGGAGGACCAGCTTTCTAAAGCTCAGCCGAGGGGGTGCATTTAGCCCCGGGGCCAAGAGGGCCCGTCTCAGAGCTCCAATGGCAGCGGCCTCCTCCCCAGCGCCTGCCAGTCGCAGCAGGGCCAGGGTCAGGTGTAGGTTCTGAGAGGGCACTAGGAAGTTGGCGCAGTGTGGGGCCACGTGGACCAGGTATTCCTGGGCCTTGGTCACTTCTGCTTGTAGCCCAGGCTCGGTCACCATGAGGGCCACAAAATGTGTGGGGCGCGGTTGGCAAGGGGCTGCAACACTAAGGCGGGCCCTTTTGTCCTCGGGCCAGGCCGCAGGACCCCACTCGGCTTCTGTCGTCTCAGCGGAGCCCCCCGGGACTCCCAGGGCCTGTGCTTCCTTGCCCCCCAGCAATGTGGTCCTGGTGGCTGCTGTTGGCTTCAGTGCCTCCTCAGTCACTCCGGCGAGGCGTCCTCTTGGGGCCAGTGTTCCCAAATCAGCAGCTGTGCCCAGCGCCCTCTCCTGGGCCGCCTCCAGCTCTCCGGGTTCCTCCACGCCTGGTTCCTGGTGCCCTGTGCAGAGCGGCCTTGTGCTCCCTCGCTTGGGGGCAGCCTGGGCCTCCTGACCTGTCCCCGCCAGTGTCCACTCGGCACCCTCTGCCCCGTGGGCGCCCTCGGTGTTCGGTGCGTCCAGGATGGTGGGCCCGCGTCCCGCCGCCGAGCCAGAGCCAAAGACGAGGTCGGTGCGCGAGGCGCGGTCCCACACAAGGCGGCCATGGAAGCGGAAGAAGCGCACGCGGTGCTGGGGCACTGCCAGCACGCCCGGCCCGAGCGCCGCCAGCGGCTGGTCCCAGCAAAAGGCGCTGAAGGGCTCCTCGCGCACACCCAGAAAGCGGTCGACGTAGCCCACCGAGAAGTCGGCGGGGTCGAGGCGCGGGTCCCAGCGGATGCGCTGGATGACGTCCGCGGCTGTGCGCAGCGGCGGCTTCTTGGCCCCGGCCTCCGGCTGCGCCTCGCGGCCAGGCGGCGCCGGCGCCCCAGGGTGGGGCTGGCGGCAGCGGGCGCCGAAGCGGCAGCGGCCTTCCAGGAAGAAGCGGCAGGCCGGCGGGGGCGCGGGTTCCGTGGCGGGGGCTTCCTGCGGCAACTCCGGCTCTCTGGCCGCTGCCATGGGTGCGGGGAACTGGCACGCCCGCCGCGCAGACGAGGTCGCCCCGCACGGAGGGCGGCTCCCCATGGATGCACCGAGCCTCACCCGACAGTGGCGTCAGCGGCCCGCGCTCCGGCCTAGCTCTGGGGACCACGCCGCGTGCCCTCGCGAGGACTCTGGCCCAGTCCCTCCTTGGTGGAGAGCCTGACACCGCTGCTCTGGGACTTCCCGGCTGCGCCCTCCCCCAGCGCCAGGAAAGCAAGCTGCGTAAAGGCTGCGGCAGTCTCGGTCTCCCGGAGCTCTTGGGAGCCTGGCCCCGCCCCTTTCCCGGTGATTGATGTGTGCTGCCTCTTTCTGGGTGATTTACATGTAATGCCCCGCCCCTTTCGGGATGATTACGTGTGCCTCGACCTTTAGGTGATTTACATGTAGTGCCCCGCCCCGTTCCCGGTGATTTACATGTGGTGCCCCGCCCCTTTCCTGGTGATTTACGAGTGCCCCACCCCTTTTAGGTGATTTTTTTTTTTTTTTTATGTGTGCCTCTCCCCTTCCCAAGTGATTTACATATGTTCCCCGCTCCTTTCAGGGTAATTTACATGTAATGCCCCGCCCCTTTCCGGGTGATTTACGAGTGCCTCTCCCCTTCTCAAGTGATTTACATGTGTCCCGCCCCGTTCCGGGTGATTTACATGCGTGCCCTGGCCCTTTCCCAGTGATACTTTTGTGCTGCCTCTTTCCGGGTGATTTACGTGTGTGCCTCTCCCCAAGTGATTTACATGTGTGCCCTGTCCG
Source organism: Homo sapiens (assembly GCF_000001405.40). Taxonomy (NCBI): domain Eukaryota; kingdom Metazoa; phylum Chordata; class Mammalia; order Primates; family Hominidae; genus Homo; species Homo sapiens. The sequence continues at coordinate 368,989 of NW_003571060.1, forward strand.
TTTTAAGGTGATTTACATGTGGTGCCCCGCCCCTTTCCGGGTGATTTACCTGTGTCCCATCCCTTTCCCGGTGATTTACATGTGGTGCCCCGCCCCTTTCCCGGTGATACCTGTGTGCCCCGCCCATGAGGGGACGTCTTTAAAGAACCTGGACCCGCCCTCAGTCCAAGTGATTTACATTTGCGGCCCCGCCCCTCTGGGAAACTTACGAGAACCTGGCCCCTCAGTCCAAATCATTTGCATGTTCGGCCCCATCCCTCGGGGGCCTTAAAGAACCAAGATGCCTGCGGACCCTTCCCCCACGGAGACCAGGCCCCTACTGCTCTAAAAGTGTTCTCAGACACTTCCCTCTGCAGCCGCTCCCAGAGTAAACGGCGGCTCCGCCGGGTCGGAGTCCACCTGAGGCGTTCAGGGCCAGAAGGACTCCTGGGGCTGCAGCACTCTGCAGCCCCGCCTCGGCTGGCCCCGCGGTGGCTGAGTCTGGCCCGGCCCCAGGACCACGTCCGGCCGGCGGTGGCGCACAGTATTTGACGAATGGGACTGCGGGAGCCGCCGCCTCTGCAAGGGGCACCGCCTGGCCACGCCCTCGGGCTCTCTTAAAGGAGCCGCACCCCCACCCCAGGGCAATCATCGGACCCGGACCAGGCCTCCGGGTGACACATCCGGCTCTCAGAGGCGCCAGGACCCTATCATTCATCCCTTTCCACGTGCAAAGTGAAAAGTCAGAGCCCGGGCACACACCTTGGCCGTTTATGTATACAGAAGTGGGGTGCCGGGCGGGAAGGGCGCGGGGAATGAGGGAACCTAGAGGCCGATGACGTCGTTCAGCTCGAGGTCCGCGTTGGGGCGGCAGCGGGCCTGGGGGGGCTGCGTCCCGGGGCGGGGTTCCGCGTCGGGCTTGGCGGCAGCCGCCTCCGGGCGCGCCGCGTCCATGACGCCCAGCACCGCGTCCAGCATGGAGGGCCCCAGATCCAGGTGGAAGGACAGCAGCGGGTCGGCAGGCGAGGGCGCTGCGGACTGCGGGACGGCGGGCGGCGGCGGGGAGCGCGGGGCCCCCGCGGGGGGCGCCCGGGGCTCGGGGGGCGGCCCGCCGCCGTGGCGGCTCAGGAACGAGGTGTCCCCGAAGGCGTCGCCGCCGCGCCCCACGTGCAGCGTGTGCCGGAAGTCGCCGAGCGGCGCGGAGATGGACAGGGCGCCGCGATCAGGCCGCTTCTTGGGCTGCGCGGGGCCCAGCTGCTTCAGCACGGGCATCTGCGAGGGGCACGGGAGGGTCAGCGCGGCCCCAGCCCGGGGCTCGCAGCCACGCGACTGCTCAAAGGACGATGGGGGACGGTTCCCGTTTTTTGTTTTTTGATTTTTGTTTTTGAGACGGAGTCTCGCCCATGCTGGAGTTCAATGGCGCCATCCCGGCTCACCGCAACCTCCGCCTCCCGGGTTCAGGCGATTCTTCCTCCTCAGTCTCCCGAGTAGCTGGGATTACAGGCACCCGCCACCATACCCAGCCAATTTTTGTATTTTTGTAGAGACGGGGTTTCACAATGTTGGCCAGGCTGGTCTTGAACTCCTGACCTCAGGTGATCAACCCGCCTCAGTCTCCCAAAATGCTGGGATAACAGGCGTGAGCCACCGCGCCCGGCCTCCCGTTTCACAGATGGGGTAAGATGAGACTCCAGGAGGTCCCATGGGCACAGCTGCTGAGCTCACATTTGGATCTAACCTGACTCCAGAATGCCTATGAACACCATGCTATGCCGATCCTCCTGAGAGCGAATACTTGAGCCTTCCTAGAGGTCAAGTAACAAATATTTCACAAACCCTTCAGAGTGCTTCCCAGACTTGACTGATAGAAAACTCCAGCTTGTTGGCCCGGGTGCGGTGGCTCACTCCTGTAATCCCAGCACCTTGGGAGGCCGAGGCGGGCGGATCGCTTGAGGCCAGGAGTTCGAGACCAGCCTGAGCAACATGGTGAAACCCCATCTCTATAAAAAATGCAAAAATTAGCGGGGCATGGTGGCGCATGCCTGTAATCCCAGCTAAAGTAGGAGAATCGCTTGAACCCCGGAGGCGGAGGTTGCAGGGAGCCGAGATCGTGTCACTGTATTGGCCACTGCACTCCAGCCTGGGCAACAGGAGTGAAACCCTGTCTCTATAAAAAGAAAAAGAAAACTCCAGCTTGTCAAAAATGGAAATTCCCAGGCTCCTGTTCTGAAGACAGGGCTGACTCTGTCCATTAAGCAAAGCAGATCCTGCCTAGAGCCCACCACGCACACGAGGAAGAGGCCCAGGTGGGCTTTGCCTAGGGTGCATTTTATGATTTGAATTACAGTCCTTGGTATCTGTGGGTTCCGCATCAGCAGATTCAATCAACTGCTGATAAAAAATACTGGGGAAAAAAATACAGTAATAAAAAATGAGTACAAGTTTCAAACAATATAACAATTATTTGCAAAGCATTTACATTGTATTATGCATTATAAGTAATCTAGAGATGATTTAAAGTATAGGAGAGGATGTACATAGGTTATATGCAAATACTAGGGCATTTATATAAGAGACTTAAACATCTGCATATTTGGGTATCCATAGGGGTCCCAGAACCAGTCCCATCACTGCTACCAAGGGGCAACTGTACCTGATCTTTTTTTTTTTTTTTTTTTGAGACGCTAATTTTTGTATTTTTAGTAGAGACAGGGTTTCACCATGTTGGTCAGGCTGGTCTTGAACTCCTGACCTCGTGATCTGCCCGCCTCGGCCTCCCGAAGTGCTGGGATTACAGGCATGAGCCACCACGCCTGGCCAACTGTACCTGATCTTGAGACTACAACCTAACAATATGATGTCTTATGTTTTCTAAAATAATAATATAAATTCCCTAGCCAGGCATGGTGGCTCACACCTGTAATCCCAGCACTTTCGGAGGCTGAAGCGGGTGGATCACCTGAGGTCAGGACTTTGAGACCAGCCTGACCAACATGGTGAAACTCCATCTCTACTAAAAAAAAAAAATACAAAATTAGCTGGTTGTGGTGGTGCATGCCTGTAATCCCAGCTACTTGAGAGGCTGAGGCAGGAGAATCGCTTGAACTTGGGAGGCAGAGGTTGCGGTGAGCTGAGATCGCGCCATTGCATTCCAGCCTGGGTGACAGAGTATGACTCTGTCTCAAAAAAAAAATAAAAAGCCCTATGTTAAAAAAAATGGGAAGAATTGCATAAATTTGAAGCTGGCAGCATCTGCATTGTAAACTAGGTGCTTTATTGCCCATAGCTGCACCAAATTCTTTTTTTTTTTTTTTTTGAGACGGAGTCTTGTTCTGTTGCCCAGGCTGGGGTTCAAGCGATTCTCCTGCCTCAGCCTCCTGAGTGGCTGGAATTACAGGTGTGCGCTGCCATGCCCTGCAAATTTTTGTATTTTTAGTAGAGATGAGGTTTCACTATGTTGGCCAGGCTGGACTCAAACTCATGACTTCAGGTGATCCGCCTGCCTTGGCCTCCCAAAGTGTTGGGAATACAGGCATGAGCCACCACGCCCGGCCTAAATTCAATATGAAATAGAAACGCAGCCACAGAGTCTGCCCATATCCTGGTCATTGCATGTTTTGTGTGGAACTTCTGGGAGGGACTTTGATGACCTTGTACTTTTGTTTTAACAGTCACTGTTATCGCAATAATAAAAACCTATTTCAGTTGAAGCCCTACCCTTTGCCAGCTGTATGAACTGCAATAAATTACTTTATTTCCCTGTTTACTTTTCTATCTGTAAGATAAATAAAATAACACTACCTTCCTTTCAGGATACATAGAAAAGTCTGATCAAAGAAAACTATACTTGTAATAGTGCTAACCAATGGGTAATGCTAGCGTTGGGGGGAAAATATTTCCCTAACAATAATTGTGGAACAAAAATTAGGTTGGATAGAACACTATGAGAAAGACAAAGCCGCTGACATTGTTTTCACCGTAACAGGCACCCTGGGAAGTATTGGTGATAATATGGAGGAAAATGAAAGCCAAAGGGATTTAAAATAATTGTAGATGGCTAGATTCTGAAGACTGGCCTACACACACACACACACACACACACACACACTCTTTACATTGATTTCCATGGGGAAACCAGTTTTGATTTACTACCTCTGCAGCATTTATCAAATTTCTCTGACCTCAACCTAGATGAATAAATATATTTTTATCGTTACCTAGCACACAATCTCCACTCTCTCCTTCCCCATAATGGAAACAAAAATTTTAAGAAACAAGATTTGTCTTGTTTTGAGACAGGGTCTCACTCTGTCACCCAGCTGGAGTGCGGTGGTGAGATCTTGGCTCACTGCAACCTCCGCCTCCCGGACTCAAGCGATCCTCCCACCTCAGACTCCTGAGTAGCTGGGACTACAGGCTCATGCTACCATGTAGTGTTATTTTTGTATTTTTTTTTTTTTTGTAGAGATGGGGTTTCACCATGTTGCCCAGGCTGGTCTCAAACTCCTGAGCTCAAGCAATCTGCCCGCCTTGGCCTCCCAAAGTGCTGAGATTACAGGTGTGTGCCAGTAAGCCCGGCCAATACTTACTTGTCTTACAACGTGGTAGATACTCTGATTCCTTCCTTCCTTCCTTCCTTCCTTCCTTCCTTCCTTCCTTCCTTCCTTCTTTCTTTCTTTCTTTCTTTCTTTCTTTTCTTCCCTCCCTCCCTCCTTCCTTCCTTCCTTTCTTTTCTTTCTTTCTCCTTCCTTCCTTCTTTCTTTCTTTTCTTTTTTGATGGAGTCTTGCTCTGTCACCCAGGCAAGAGTGCAATGGCGCGATCTCGGCTCACTGCAACCTCCGCCTCCCAGGTTCAAGTGATTCTCCTGCCTCAGCCTCCCGAGTAGCTGGGATTATAGGTGCACACCACCATGCTTGGCTAATTTTTGTATTTTATAGTAGAGATGGGGTTTCACCATGTTGGCCAGGCTGGTCTCGAACTCCTGATCTCGTGATCTGCCCACCTCGGCCTCCCAAAGTGCTGGGATTACAGGCATGAGCCACCACACCCGGCCCCTACTCTGATATTTTCTATTGTAATCTATTTTATTTTTAAATGTTGAGCTCAGCTCATTAATGTATCTTCTGGATCCACAGTTTAAAAAAAAAAATCCTCTCTAGCTGCTAACAGAGCCTATGATCTCAGCACTTGCTCTGCTGTGGGTCAGAGGTGAAAAAGTGGAATTCAGAAAGTCCATTGCACAGGTTTGAATCTGGCTGTGCTGATCGCTCTGTGGCTTTGAGCAACTTACTTGACCTTTCTGACCTCATTTCCTTATCTTGAAAATGGCATGATATTAATCTAATACTTCCCAGTCCTTTTGCAAGAATTGGTGGAGGGATATGTCCCTGCAAGTCTTGGCACAGTGCCCAGCGCACAGGGAATGTTCAATTAACATATGCTCAATGGAGTCACACCTCGGATCATTCTCCCAGTGTTCCAGAGAAGGAAATGGGTGATCCGAGACAGGACGTGACTGACCAAGATCACAAAGCCAGCTCTAGGGAACTCCAGTGTCTAGAGCTGGCTGCCTCCACTCTCTGCTGCCTCTTGACTCGTGGACAGCTCTCAGCCCCTGCCTCTGGTCAGACCCAGCTCCCAGCATGCACCTCGCATCCCCCTTCCATTGCCCTATCCGTTGCCACCACTTTTCAGCACCTGGCAACACACATAAAGTCTTGGTTTCTGACATCACACACATCTGGGCTCAAATTTTGCCATTTCCTTCTTGTGCGATCCCAAACTGGCTTCCTCAGCCTAAAGCTCAGTTTACTCCTCAAAAAACAGGGGTTGGAACTCTTGTTTGTGGCTGGGCGCCGTGGCTCACACCTACAATGCCAGCTCTTTGGGAGGCTGAGACAGCAGGATCACTTGAGCCCAGGAGTTTGAGACCAGAATGCGCAACAAAGTGAGATGATCTCTCTACAAAAATAAAAATAAAAAATTAGCCAGGTGCTGTGTCATGCACCTGCAGTTCCAGCTACCTGGGAGGCTGAAAAGGGAAGATCCCTTGAGCCCAGGAGTTTGAGGCTGCAGTGAGGTATGATCGTCCCACCGCACTTCAGCCTGGGCAACAGAAAGAGACCCTGTCTCAAGAAGAAAAGAAAAGAAAAGGAGAGAGAGAGAGAAAAAGAGAGAGAAGGAAAGGAGGGAGGAGAGGGAGGGAAAAAAGGAAGGAAGGAAGGAAAGAGAAAGAAAGAGAAAGAAAAAGAAAGGAAAGGAAGGAGAAAGAAAGAAAGGAAAGAAGGAAGGAAGGAAGGAAAAAGAAAGAAAAAAAGAAGGAAAGAAAGAAAGGGAAGAAAGAAAGACTACACTGAGGGTGCCGAAATTTTATTTTCCAAGTGCTTATCCTGGGCCAGGCACCAGCCTGAGTGCCTCCCCATGAATGAACTAATTTATTTAATCTTCAGGACAACTCCATTTTACAGATGCGCGATGGCTGAGACACAGAGAAGTTAAGTCACTTGCCCTGGGTCACACAGTAGCAAATGCTGCGCTCCAGATCTGGAATCCAGACGAACTCTTAGCTCCCCATAGGAGACTACGGGCATGCCACCCCATGAGAAAAAAAATAATAATGTTCTGATTTGATATGAAGGCGAGAGATTTCCTCTGACACCCTTGATTGTCTTTTTTCCTCTCCAGTCCAGACCAGAACAACGAGTTGGAAGTCGTTTTCGAATGCCACCTCTGCGCCCTAGCTCTGAGACCCTGGGTAAGTCGCTTCACTTCTGCCAGCCTGCGTGTCCTCTTAAATAGAAGCCTCTGACCTCCCTCTGGTTGAATTGTGTTTAAAGCAATGAGGTCATGCTCGGAAAAAGTCCCTCACGCTGCCAGGGCTCGGGACAGAGGGGCTGTTGTTTGTGACCAACGTGGAACAGGCAGAAAGCGGGGCGCGACCGTGGAGCCCGGGGAGGCCCGGGCCGCGCGTTCTCCCCCCGCCTCCGCCCACCCCTCTCTTTCCTGCTGGGGCAGGGCCACGGCTCCAGCTGCAGGGTGGCGGGCACAGCTGGTTCACCTCTGTCCTCTCTCAGTCCCGGCCCCGCCAGGACGGAAATAACAACCCACTCTAGATCCGGCCCAACTGGTTCTCAGACCCGTGGGAGCTGCGGTGCAGCCGGGTCGGGGGACCCCAGATGGGGAGACCCCCGGCCCGGCGAGGGCTTCACTGCGCGCTTCCTGCAGCCACGTGGCTGCGGCCGGGAATTCAGCGGCCCTTTTCCCTCCCGACCGGGACCCAGGACCCCTGTCCCCACCGCGCCTTACCTCGCGGTCCTCCCAGAGCGGGGCGGGCGCGCGCTCACGACTCCAGCTCTAGCCCGGACCCCTGGTTCCCTGGCTCCGAGTCCGCCTCCGTCTCCTAATCCCCGGCCCGCGCCTTCCTTCTTCCTCCGGGCGGGTTCTCACCTGGTAAGGAAAGTGTCATGTGGAACCCGGAGGGAGATTCAGGAGCCAGGCATCCGGGTCCGTAGAGCCACCTCCTCCTTCGCCCTCAGGTCCTAGGCGTCCTAGATCTTCGCTTTCTTAATCCCACCCCAGACCCGAAAGTCAGGGGCCCCCAGCCCCTTCTTCCTCAGACCCAGGAGTCAAGACCCCCCAGCCCCTCCTCCCTCAGACCCAGGAGTCCAGACCCCCAGCCCCTCCTCCCTCAGACCCAGGAGTCCAGGCCCCCAGCCCCTCCTCCCTCAGACCCAGGAGTCCAGGCCCCCAGGCCCTCCTCCCTCAGACCCAGGAGTCCAGACCCCAGCCCCTCCTCCCTCAGACCCAGGAGTCCAGGCCCCCAGCCCCTCCTCCCTCAGACCCAGGAGTCCAGGCCCCCAGGCCCTCCTCCCTCAGACTCATGAGTCCAGACCCCCAGCCCCTCCTCCCTCAGACCCAGGAGTCCAGACCCCCAGCCCCTCCTCCCTCAGACCCAGGAGTCCAGGCCCCCAGCCCCTCCTCCCTCAGACCCAGGAGTCCAGACCCCCCAGCCCCTCCTCCCTCAGACTCATGAGTCCAGACCCCCAGCCCCTCCTCCCTCAGACCCAGGAGTCCAGACCCCCAGCCCCTCCTCCCTCAGACCCAGGAATCCAGGCCCCATCCCCTCCTCCCTCAGACCCAGGAGTCAAGACCCCCCAGCCCCTCCTCCCTCAGACCCAGGAGTCCAGACCTCCAGCCCTTCCTCCTCCCTCAGACCCAGGAGTCAAGACCCCCCCAGCCCCTCCTCCCTCAGACCCAGGAGTCCAGGCCCCCAGCCCCTCCTCCCTCAGACCCAGGAGTCCAGACCCCCAGCCCCTCCTCCCTCAGACCCAGGAGTCCAGGCCCCCATCCCCTCCTCCCTCAGACCCAGGAGTCCAGGCCCCCAGCCCCTCCTCCCTCAGACCCAGGAATCCAGGCCCCATCCCCTCCTCCCTCAGACCCAGGAGTCCAGACCCCCAGCCCCTCCTCCCTCAGACTCAGGGGTCCAGACCCCCAGCCCCTTCTTCCTCAGACCCAGGAGTCAAGACCCCCCAGCCCCTCCTCCCTCAGACCCAGGAGTCAAGACCCCCCAGCCCCTCCTCCCTCAGACCCAGGAGTCAAGACCCCCCAGCCCCTCCTCCCTCAGACTCATGAGTCCAGACCCCCAGCCCCTCCTCCCTCAGACCCAGGAGTCCAGACCCCCAGCCCCTCCTCCCTCAGACCCAGGAGTCCAGGCCCCACCCCTGGCAAGCCCTGGCATAAGGCCCCTTTACCTGCACCGGGAGCTAAAGTGTCAGCCCCTCTCGGGGGCCATGGCAGGAGCCCAGGCAGAAGCGGAATCACCGCCCAGTCCCCAGGCAGAGAGGGTTTTGGCACAGGCCCCTCCCAGGCTTTCTTATCCCCCAAAAGTTTGCCTCTAGGAGTTAAAGGACTAGAAAGCAGTGGTGGAAAAGCTGAGGCCCCTCTGGGCGGAGTGTGGGGGCGGGAGGAGGCCAGGACTAAGTGTGCAGGGGGAACTGGCAGAGGGGGTGGGGCTGGACAGGGCGCGCCCCCAGCCTGGCCCCTCCCCTGCACAGCTTGGAATTTCCTGAAACTGGGGAAGTCTGGCTGTTTAGAAGAGTAATTTCTTCCAGATTGCAGCTGTATGGAGAGAGAGAGAGGGAGAGAGAGAGAGAGAAAGAGAGAAGAGAGGCAGGTCAGACAGTGAAAGCAGCAGGAGGATGAAGAGCATGGAGGGTGTCTGAGAGGGGCAGCTCTGGCTTTGCTGCGGCGTCCCCTAGATGAACCTCCCTGCCTGGAGCCACTCCGTCATAGAAAGCTCATATCTCATTCTAAGCACCAGTGTCTATTGATGACAAGAGAGTGAGGTTTGAGTGTTAGGGCAATTCCTTCAGGGCGGTGCGGGCAGGGAGAGAGAGCGGAGGGGGAGAGCAGAGTCCCAAGGCAGGATGCAGCTCAGTGGGAAGAAGGTGGGAAGCCCAGGTGGGAGTCTAGGTCTGTGGGAGGGAGGTGGAGGCCCAGGTGGGAGGCTGGGTCAGCGGGAGGGAGGTGGAGATGCAGGTTGGAGCCTGGGTCAGGGTCAGAGGGAGAGGGAGAGGGAAGCCCAGGTAGGAGGCAGCTCAGTGAGAGAAAGGGGAGGCCCAGGTGGGAGGCTAGGTCAGTGGTTTTACCCCTAGTTGGGGCTGGGGTTGTAGTGCTGGAGAGAAGACAGTCAATTTGCGATAACAGGAAGCAGCCTTGAGCTGGGTCTTAAGGATGAGTGAGAGTTGATGGAGCCCAGGGAGAGGAGGATGGATATCGGAGCAGAGTGGGGAAGCTGGGTGGGGCAGAGGGTTCTCAGACACCAGGTGGAGTTTGATTTGCCTGGAGAAGCCAGCTTGAAAGCCACTGGGAGCTTCAGTTTGCCCTGCAGGCGTGGGGGGACCGCGGAGGAATGGCAGGGAAAGATCCAGGTGTTAGAAAGTTCCCACTGGGGTCCCCGCAGGGGATGGAGTGAAGTAGGTCAGGACTCAGCACCCACAGCAAAATTTAAGGGGGGAGGGGGCAGTGGTCACCAGAAACTCAGTAATCAGAAAAACTATATATATATATATATATATATATATATAACAGACTTTTATTAAGTATTTTTTATTGATGTAAAATTCACATAACATAAAATTAACCATCTTTTTTTTTTCTTTTTTTTTAATTGAGACGGAGTTTTGTTCTTGTTGCCCAGGCTGGAGTGCAATGGCGCGATCTCCACTCACTGCAACCTCCACCTTCCAGGTTCAAGCGATTCTCCTGCCTCAGCCTGTTGAGTAGCCGGGATTACCGGTGCCTGCCACCACGCCCAGCTAATTTTGTATTTTTAGTAGAGACGGGGTTTCTCCACGTTGGTCAGGCTGGTCTCGAACTCCCGACCTCAGGTTATCCGCCTGCCTCGGCTTCCAAAGTGCTGGGATTATAGGTGTGAGCCACTGCATCGGGCCAGAATTAACCATCTTAAGGTGTACAGTTCAGTGACATTTAGTACATTCCCAATGGAACGTACCTAATTGGTACACTGGTAATTGTGTAGCCATCCTTTCTATCAAGTTCCCAAACATTTTCATCACCCCTAAAGAAAACCCTATTAAGCGGTCACTCCCATGCCCCGCTCTCTGCAGCCCCTGGAAACCACTCCCCTGTTTTCTGATTCATGGATTACCTCTTCTGGACATTCGCATAAATGGAATCACACATCATACAGCCTTACCTATCTGACTTCCTTCACATAAGCAGGTTCATCCGTGTGCAGCATGTGCCAGTGGTTCATTACATGTATTATGTACATACGTTAAGATATATATAAAGGCCAAGTGCAGTGGCTCACGCCTGTAATCCCAGCACTTTGGGAAGCCAAGGCGGGTGGATCACTTGAGGTCAGAAGCTCAAGACCAGCCTGGCCAACTTGGTGAAACGCTGACTCTACTAAAAAAATACAAAAATCAGCTGGGCGCAGTGGTGTGTAGTCTCAGGTACTCGGGAGGCTGAGGCAGGATACTCGCTTGAACGCAGGAGGCGGAGGTTGCAGTGAGCCCAGATCGAGCCACTGCACTCCAGCCTGGACAACAGAGCAAGACTCGCTCTAAAAAAAAAAAAAAAAAAAAAAAAAAGGACGAAAAAAAGAAAAAGAGATATGTATATAAGAGATCTATTTGTCACGTGTGTAATCCCAGCACCAGCACTTAGGGAGGCTGAGGCGGGCAGATCACGAGGTCAGGAGATCGAGACCATCCTGGCTAACACGGTGAAACCTCGTCTCTACTAAAAATACAAAAAATTAGCCGGGCATGGTGGCGGGCGCCTGTAGTCCCAGCTACTCGGGAGGCTGAGGCAGGAGAATGGCGTGAACCCGGGAGGCGGAGCTTGCAGTGAGCTGAGATCTCGCCATTGCACTCCAGCCTCGGCGATAGAGCGAGACCCAAAAAACAAACAAACCAAAACAACAACAACAACAACTAACCATCACGCCAGGATAATCTCCCTGACGTAAGATCCACAATTTTAAGTGCATCTGCAGACCTATTCACGGGTCGCAGGGATTTGTGCGTGGACATCTTGCATGTGCGGGGGTGGGTGGGGCTATTCTGCTACCACAGTGCCCCTCAGAGGTCAGGTCCTGGGAGGGGGCGGGGCCAAAGCAGGGCCAGCTTCATGGGTTGCCCAGTGACCCATGCTCGGAGGGCCCTGCACCTTTCTTTTTTTGTTTGTTTTTGAGACAAAGCCTTACTCTGTTGCTCAGGCTGGAGTGTCAAAGGCAAGATCTTGGCTCACTGCAACCTCTGCCTCCCGGGTTCCAGCAATTCTCCCGCCTCAGCCTCTCCAGTAGCTGGGATTACAGGCGCACGCCACCACGCCCAGCTACTTTTTGTATTTTTAGTAGAGACGGGGTTTCACCATGTTGGCCAGGCTGGTCTTGAACTCCTGACCTCAGGTGATCCGCCCGCCTCGGTCTCCCAAAGTGCTGGAATTACCGGCGTGAGCCACTGCACCTGGCCTTTTTGTTTGTTTTTTAGACAGAGTCTCTATCTGTTGCTCAGGCTGGAGTGCCAATGGTGAGATCTCAGCTCACTGAAACCTCCACCTCCCGGGTTCAAGCGATTCTCCTGCCTCAGCCTCCTGAGTTGCTGCAATTACAGGCATGCGCCACCACACCTGGCTAATTTTTGTGTTTTTAGTAGAGACGGGGTTTCACCATATTGGCCAGGCTGGTCTCGAACTCCTAACCTCAGGTGATCGGCCGGCCTTGGCCTCCCAAAGTGCTGGGATCACAGGAATGAGACACCGCGCCCGGCCACCACACTTCTTTTAATGCTCAGTTGTCACCAATTTGAAATTCCTTACGTTTTGAAGAAGGGATCCTGAGTTCTCATTTGCAATAGACCCCACCAATTATGTGGCTGGTTCTGGATGGAACAGCGGGAAGGGCAGAGGCCTGGGAGAAAGTGGCCGAGAAGAGCAACGATGGAGAGATAAAAGGGAAAGGAACTCTGGATGATACCCTGGCAGCAGCCTGGGAAAGCAAAGAGGGAGGAAGAGAGAGGTGTGTCCCAGAAGCCTGGAGTGGGAGATGCACCGTCCCTTCCTTGTGGACTCAAAAGCAGGCTAAGTATGATTAAAAAAAAAAAAAAAAAGAGGGAGTGAGGTCCACTGGACTCAGTAAGAATCCAGAGTTCACTGGGGGCCTGGGTGAGAGCAGACCCAAATGGGGTGGGCAGGGAGAGGTCAGATTGCAGTGGAGAAGGCCAGAGAGAGAGAGATTGGAGGCCAGGAAAGGCGGAGGGGTCAGCAGATAACCCAGGGTGTCCTCTGTGAAGGGAAAGAGAGATAAGGTATCTGGAAGAACAGGGAAGGTCAAAGAAAGGTTTTAGGTTTTTTGGTTCATCTGGATACATTCCCAACTTTTTTTTTTTTTTTTTTTTTCTGAGACAGAGTCTCAGTGTATCACCCAGGCTGGAGTGCAGTGGCACAATCTCAGCTCACTGCAACCTCTGCCTCCCGGGTTCAAGCAATTCTCCTGCCTCATCCTTCTGAGTAGCTGGGACTACAGGTGTGTGCCAGCATGCCCAGCTAACTGTGTAGAGATAGGGTTTCGCCATGTTGCCCAGGCTGGTCTTGAACTCCTAGACTCAAGCAATCTACGCGTCTCAGCTTCTCAAAGTCCTGGGATTACAGACCTGAGCCACTGTGCCCAGCTGGTTCCTGAGACTGCACCATGATTCCTTAGCTGATTTCAGTGAGTACATACTGCCAGTGCCCCTACATAATTATACACCAGTTCCTAGAATCTTTTTGTAATTATTCAGACTTTTATAGCAATCTAATCATCACTACCCGGCAATTTGTTTTCTTAAGTCTAGTGCTATTGAGGGGGTTCCAACGTTTCCCTTTTAAATGTTTCAGCCCCTCTTCTGAGTAGCAGGGACATGGATGGAACTTTGATCCTATCTTATCCTTAAAGAGCTTACAGGATATTGAGAGGAGAGGAGGGAAGTTGACATGGCACCACCCAGTGGAATGACATAGTCAGCACAGAGCTCAGTGGGAGCACAGAGGAAGAGCGCCAGGCCCATCATGTCCAGCTGCGTAGGTTGTGCACTGCACAACTCTGGGGTCATCATATCACAAACTGAGTGTGAAGAGCCTTGTGAGGCTTCCAGGACAGGTTTCTAGGGGTCACCAGATGCTGGTCTAGATCAGGATGGAGGAATCTTGACTCCTAGAAAGAGGTGGGCAGGGAATTGCTGAGGACGTTTGAAGTCTAATGGGCCGAGCCTTCCCTGTGGTGAGTGGCAGCTCAGCTTTCTAGAGGAAGTTTGGGAAGAAGAATCCTCAGTGAAGGGGTGTTCTACTTGGAGTGATTCGTGTTTCCTTCCAGCTCACTCAGGGTAGTCATGGCCTCTTCCCTTTCCCTGGCTCTCAGTCTGCATCCACCACACTGTTCCCCCTGCTGAACTTTGCACACTCCAGACCACTGGACCACTGCTGCACTTTCTCATTTATCCAGATCATTTTCACCTTCTAGTAAGCTGTGAATGTGCTTATTATGCCCAAGGGTTACTGTCTGTCTCCTTCTGCAAGAATATAGGCTCCTCGGCTGGGCGTTCTGGGTCAGGCCTGTCATCCCCAGCACTTTGGGAGGCCGAGGTGGGCAGATCACGAGGTCAGGAGATGGAGACAATCCTGGCTAATGCGATGAAACCCCATCTCTACTAAAAATACAAAAAATTAGCGGGGCGTGGTGATGCATGCCTGTAATCCCAGCTACTCGGGAGGCTGAGGCAGGAGAATCGCTTGAACCCAGGAGGCGGAGGTTGCAGTGAGCCGAGATCGCGCCACTGCACTCCAGCCTGGGAGACGAGCGAGACTCCATCTCAAAAAAAAAAAAAAAAAAGAATATAAGCTCCTCGATGGCAAGGATGTTTTGCATATTGATGGACCGCTAGAGCCTCAAACAGTGTCTGGCACACAGGACAGGACCAACAAATACTGAATGAGAAAAGTGAATGACAGATGGAAAAGAACAGAACTAAACAGGGAGTTTCTCCACTGGGACCACAAGAGGGCACTCAAGATACGTGTCAAACCCTTGAAGCCCCAAGGTGGGTGGTCTCTCTGCTCCTCAGCCTGGAGGACCAGGGACAGGTGACCTGGACCACGTCCTTTCTCCTCTGTGAGCCTCTATTTCCCCATGTGTAGCGTGGAGATGGAAATGCCTGAAATACGTTCTTGTGAGAAGCAAAAACCCAACAACGCATGCACGTGAATGTCTTCCAAGGGGTTGCACGTGTCCAAATTCATCTAATTGTGTACATTAAGTGAGAGGGTTTTTTAGTAGAACAATTATAGCTAAACAAAGCTGCTAAAATGTAAATAAAATAAAAAATAAAACTTGCATTGAACAACAACAGAGCCGTTAGGCTAGAGCAAGAAATCTGAAGGATGGCAATCCAGACCCCAATAAATCCACAAAGGGGTGTGTGTGTGTGTGTGTGTGTGTGTGTGTGTGTGTGTGTGTGTATGTATTTTTTTTTTTTTTTGAGACGGAGTTTCACTCTTGTTGCCCAGGCTGGAGTGCGATGGCGCGATCTCGGATAACCTCAACCTCTGCCTACTGGATTCAAGCAATTCTCCTACCTCAGGCTTCCGAGTAGCTGGGATTACAGGCATGTGCCATCACGCCTGGCTAATAAAAATATTAATTACATGAAGCAACCAGTGAGCACAATGCTATCCTGTGAAATTATTAAAACCTAAAACTAAATGGAAGCTCTGGTTGAAAAGTGCAATACATTCCTAGCAGGATGGGAGACATTCAGCAAAATCAATCATGTGTCTGTATACTAATGAACAATAATTTAAAAACGAAGTGAGGAGAGGAATTTTATTTACAAAGCCTCCAAAGTAATAAAATGAGTGGGAAGAAATTTAATAAAAGAAATAAAGGACGTGTATACTAAAAATTACAAAAGATGCTGAGAAGTTAAAGATCTAAATAAACGGAGAGGCTGAGCGTGGTGGCTCACGCCTGTAATCTCAGCATTTTGGGAGGCCAAGGCAGGCAGGTTACTTGAGATCAGGAGTTGGAGACCAGCCTGGCCTACATGGGGAAACTGGTCTCCACTAAAAAACAAACAAACAAAAATTAGCCAGGCATGGTGGTGCACACCTGTAATCCCAGCTACTCAGGAGGCTGAGGCAGGAGAATCGCTTGAACCTGGGAGGCACAGGTTGCAGTGAGCCGAGATCGTGCCACTGCACTCCAGCCTGGATGGCAGAGCCAGACTCCATCTCAAAATAAATAAATACATACGAAAATGGAGAAACAGTTCATACATTCACAATAGCATCCAAAATAATAAATATAAGAAATAAAAATTAACAAAAAGTGTCATCTTGCAAAGCAGTAACATAATATGAAAAAACCCCACTGACCACATCCTTCCTCATTCTTAGAAAGGGAATTATGGTCATAGTGGTTGACCTGTGGCCATGTAATTCTGTCCAAATATCCCTGAATGGTAAATGTGAAAACAGTAGAATGAATTCCATTGAAAATAAGAAAACAAGAAGAAATAAAGTCAGAACGCAAAAGTTTTTTTTAAGGGTTATTGGGATGGAATTTTGTTTGTTTGTTTTTTTGAGATGCAGACTTACTCTGTCATCCAGGCTGGAGTGCAATGGTGCGATCTCAGCTCACTGCATTCTCCACCTTCCGGGTTGAAGCCATTCTCCTGCCTCAGCCTCCTGATTAGCTGAGATTATAGGCATGTGCCACCACGCCCGGCTAATTTTTGTATTTTTAGTAGACGGGGTTTCACCATATTGGCCAGGCTGGTCTCAAACTCCTAACCTCAGGTGATCGGCCGGCCTTGGCCTCCCAAAGTGCTGGGATCACAGGAATGAGCCACTGTGCCTGGCCACCACGCTTCTGTTAACGCTCAGCTGTCACCAATTTGAAATTCCTTACGTTTTGAAGAAGGGACGTCGAGTTCTCATTTGCAATAGACCCCACCAATTATGTGGCTGGTTCTGGATGGAACAGCGGGAAGGGCAGAGGCCTGGGAGAAAGCGGCCAAGAACAGCAACGATGGAGAGATAAAAGGGAAAGGAACTCTGGATGATACCCTGGCAGCAGCCTGGGAAAGCCAAGAGGGAGGAAGAGAGAGGTGTGTCCCAGAAGCCTGGAGTGGGAGATGCATCATCCCTTTCTTGTGGTCTCAAAAGCAGGCCAAGTATGATTTTTTTTTTTTTTTAACTGCCGGGCGCGGTGTCTCAAGCCTGTAATCCCAGCACTTTGGGAGGCCGAGGCGGGCGGATCACGAGGTCAGGAGTTCAAGACCACCTTGGCCAACATGGTGAAACCTCATCTCTACTAAAAACACAATAATTAGCTGGGCGTAGTGGCGCGCGCCAAGATGGAGCTTACTCGGGCGGCTGAGGCAGGAGAATGGCGTGAACTGGGGAGGTGGGACTTGCAGTGAGCCAAGATCGGGCCACTGCACTCCAGCCTGGGCGACAGAGCGAGACTCCGTCTCAAAAAAAAAAAAAAGCTCCTCGATGGCAAGGATGTTTGTTTTGTATATTGATGGACCGCGAGAGCACAGGAGAGGACCAACAAATACTGAATGAGAAAAATGAATGGCAGATGGAAAAGAACAGAACTAAACAGGGAGTTTCTCCACTGAGACCACAAGAGGGCACCCGAGATACGCGTCGAACCCTCGCAGCCCCAAGGTGGGTGGTCTCTGCTCCTCAGCCTGGAGGACCAGGGACAGGTGTGACCGGGACCACACCCTTTCTCCTCTGTGAGCCTCTATTTCCCCATGTGTAGCGTGGAGATGGAAGTGCCTGAAATACGTTCTTGTGAGAAGCAAAAAGCTAACAACACATGCACGTGAATGTCTTCTAAGGGGTTATTGCATACGTCCAAATTCATCTAATTGTGTATATTAAGTGAGAGGGTTTTTTAGTGGAACAATTGTAGCTAAATAAAGCTGCTAAAAAGTAAATAAAATAAAAAATGAAACTTGCAATGAACAACAGCAACAGAGTCATTACGCTAGAGCAAGAAATCTGAAGGATGGCAATCTAGACCCCAATAAATCCACGAAGTTAGAATTTTTTTTTTTTTTTTTTTTTTTTTGGTGACGGAATTTCGCTCTTGTTGCCCAGGCTGGCTTACAATGGTGCAATCTCGGCTCACCGCAGCTGCCGCGTCCCGGGTTCAAGCATTTCTCCCATCTCAGCTTTCTGAGTAGCTGGGATTACAGGCATGTGCCATCGCTCCCGGCTAACAGAAATATTAATTACATGAAACGACCAGTGAGCACAGTGCTATCCTGTGAAATTATTAAAACATAAAACTAAGGCCGGGCGCGGTGGCTCACGCCTGTAATCCCAGCACTTTGGGAGGCCGAGGCGGGTGGATCACGAGGTCAGGAGATCGAGACCATCCTGGCTAACAAGGTGAAACCCCGTCTCTACTAAAAATACAAAAAAATTAGCCGGGCGTGGTGGCGGGCGCCTGTAGTCCCAGCTACTCGGGAGGCTGAGGCAGGAGAATGGCGTGAACCCGGGAGGCGGAGCTTGCAGTGAGCCGAGATTGCACCACTGCACTCCAGCCTGGGAGACAGAGCGAGACTCCGTCTCAAAAAAAACAAAAACAAAACCCATAAAACTAAATGAAGCTCTGGAGTTGAAAAGTACCACACATTCCTAGCAGGATAGGAGATATATTCACCAAAATCAATCATGTGTCTGTATACGAACGAACAATAATTTAAAAATGAAATGAGGAGAGCAATTTCATTTACAAAGCCTCCAAAATAATAAAATGAATGGGAAGAAATGTAATAAAAGAAGTGAAAGACGTGGATACTAAAAATTACAAAAGATGCTGAGGAGAAATTAAAGATGTAAATAAATGGAGAGGCCGAGTGCGGTGGCTCATGCCTGTAATCTCAGCACTTTGGGAGGCTAAGGCAGGTGGATTACCTGAGGTCAGGAGTTCTAGACTAGCCTGGCAAACATGGGGAAACCTGATCTATACAAAACAAAACAAAACAAAACAAAACAAAACAAAAAACTTAGCTCCAGCTTAGAGCCAGACTCCATCCCAAAATTAATAGATAAATACATACATGCATGCATACATAAATGGAGAAAGTTTATACATTCACAATAGCATCTGACATAATAAATGTAAGAAATAAAATGAATAAAAAGTGTCATCTTGCAAAGCAGTAAAATAAGATGAAAAAACCTCACTGACCACATCCTTCCTCATTCTCAGAAAGGGAATCACGGTCATAGTGGTTGACCTGTGGCCGTGTAATTCTGTCCAAATATCCATGAATGGTAAATGTGAAAACAGTAGAATGAATTCCATTGAAAATAAGAAAACAAGAAGAAATAAAGTCAGAACTCAAAAGTGTTTTTGAAGTGTTATTGGGATGGGGTTTTTTGTTTTTTTTTTTTTTTTTTTTAGACGGAGACTCGCTGTGTCGCCGAGGCTGGAGTGCATGGTGCGATCTCGGCTCACTGAAACCTCTGCCTCCTGGGTTCAAGCGATTCTCCTGCTTCAGCCTCCTGAGTAGCTGATATTATAGGCACGCACCATCATGCCTGGCTAATTTTTGTATTTTTAGTAGAGACGGGGTTTCATCATGTTGGCCAGGCTGGTCTCGAACTCCTGACCTCAGGTGATAAAGCCCACCTCGGCTTCCCAAAATACTGGCCTTACAGGCACGAGCCACTGCGCCCAGCCTATTTGTTATTATTTGATAATATTTATATTATCACCTATCAATTTATGATGACAAGTGCACTTAACATAAGATCTATCTTAGCAAATTTGTAAGGGTACAAGGCAGTCTTATTCCCTGCACACACTAAGCCGCACAGGAGACTCTAGGCCTTCCTCATCTTGCATGACTGAAACTCAAGAGGGAAAAATGAGGAGTTATCAGTCATAGGAAAGAGATCTTGATACCTTGCCTGTTCTTTCTAAGCCAATACTCTCAGCTCCTTAAAGGGGGCACTTTTATTTCATTTTATTTTTTTTCCCTCAGGTATAAATAATTTAATTTTTTTCAGTTATAAGGCTAACACATACTCAATTTAAAAATCCAAATAAAAACTCCTCAAAAAATGAAGAGCCATTTAAACTCCCTTGACCTAATATTAACTGCTACAAACATCGTGATTAATATTTTCCTACAAATCTCTCCTTCCATAAACATGTGTATAAACATGCATATGTAATTTAACTTACATGTGGCCTCTATATACGTGTTTTTTTTCCTGTTTTGCTCACTCAACAAAATCCTCGGTATCTTCCATGTCAATGAAAGTTAAACAGCACCATCATTTTTAATGACCACACAGTATTCCATTGCACTGGGCAGGTGGGGGGCAGGGCATTGTTTATTTAATATTTAAGTGTCCATTAAGTGATGGGCAATATGTTTCTAATTCACTGCTCTTCATTCTACAAGTGTTTGCTGAGCATCTATTATGTGCCAGGCCCTAAGTACCAGTGATAAAGTGATGATCAAGACAGAAGAGCCAAGACTTCCCTGGCCAAGTGAAGTCTCCATTCTAACGGCGGGAGAGGGACAGCGTACAAGTCAATGAGTGGATAATTAGAAAGGAGGATGAACGTCAAGAGGAAATGAAGACGAATCTTCTTAGCGAAGGAATGGGTGTCGGGCTAGTGGACTTCTTTCAACACAGTGGTCTAGGAAGGCTCTTCTTGCTGAGATGATGCTGAGCAGAGACCTGGAGGCTGTGGTGCAAAGCAGGAGGTCGGTGCACCCAGGCAGAGACGCGGAGCCCCGAGGCAGGGAGGGACCTGGTGTCTTCAAGGAACAGCAGGAATGTCATGTGGCCTGAGGGCAGGGAGTGAGGGGCACAGGGACCAACGTGAAATTGGAAAGATGAGTAAGTGTCCCGTAGGTCACAGAGTTTGGGTTTTGGGCCATGTGTACTATGAAGTCACTGGAGATTTCAATGGTAACAAAACATAATCTGATTTATGCTTTTAAAGGATCACTCTGGGGCCGGGTGCAGGGGCTCATGCCTGTAATCCCAGCACTTTGGGAGACTGAGGCGGGCGGATCATGAGGTCAAGAGATCGAGACCATCCTGGGCAACATGGTGAAACCCCGTCTCTACTAAAAATACAAATAAATTAGCCAGGCGTGGTGGTGGGTGCCTCTAATCCCAGCTACTCGGGAGGCTGAGGCAGGAGAATCGCTTGAACCCGGGAGGTGGAGGGTGCAGTGAGCCAAGATCACGCCACTGCACTGAAGCCTGGGCGACAGAGTGAGACTCCGTCTCAAAAAAAAAAAAAAAAAAGAAAGATTATTCTGACTACAATATGGGGAGGGGCAGCTGAGTAGCACGAAATGAGCGTGGAGAGACCAGCTAGGGGATGTTCCCTGGACGAGGGGAGAGAGGGTGAACCTGGCGCCGTGGTGCTGGCAAGCAGTGTCTGCATGAGGACAGATTCTGAAGGTAGAACAAGGGGAGAGGGTGAGAAAGAGGAGCAGTTGAGGCGATTTCTAGGACTGCAGCTTGTCCAGGTGGTGGACGGGGAAGAAAACGTGGGAGAGCCACAATTTTAACTTTCTCATATTAATCCTTCCAGTGTTTGTTTCTGGGTGAATATGAGACAATATGAATGTATATTCTGATTCCCCCAATTCTTGGCACAATACAGATTTAATCCCTAAGAATACACTCTGGGATCTCTCCATAAAGTACATAGGCGATTTTCTTTTTATTTTCTTTTTTTGAGACAAGTCTCACTCTGTTGCCCATGCTGGAGTGCAGTGGTGCGATCTCAGCTCACTGCAATCTCCACCTCCCAGGTTGAAGCAATTCTCCTACTCAGCCTCCCGAGCTGAAATGATGGGCGCCAGCCACCAGGTCCAGCTAATTTTTTTGTATTTTTAGTAGAAACAGGGTTTTACCATGTTGGCCAGGCTGGTCTCGAACTCCTGGCCTCAGGTGATCTGCCCGCATCTGCCTTCCAAAGTGCTGGGATTACAGTCAGGAGCCTGGCCCATGGGGCATTTTCAAATATATTTCTCCCTGGTCTTCTAAATTCCAGACTGACTGATGAGAAGTCTGATGTAATTATGATAATAGAAACTTAGTACACCATTGTGTTTTTTCTCCCACCTTTGAGGTCTTCTTTATTTTCTTTTTCCTTTGAGATAATGCAGCTTGGTGAGTGCGGTGAGCCCTTAGGGAGGCATTTTTTCTCTCTCCCTTGCGTCACTGCTGGCTGGCTTCCTCCTCTCTGCCCTTTACTTCTTTTTTTTCATTCCAGCTCCTCAAGTTGCATGTTCAGTGATTAATTCTCCAAACTTCATAATTTCTTTTTTTTTTTTTTGAGATGGAGTCTCTGTCACCCAGGCTGGAGTACGGTGGCGCGATCTCGGTTCACTGCAACCTCCACCTCCCGGGTTCAAGCGATTCTCCTGCCTCAGTCTCCCGAGTAGCTGGGACTACAGGCGCCCGCCACCACGCCCGGCTAATTTTTTTAGTAGAGACGGGGTTTGGGGTTTCACCGTGTTAGCTAGGATGGGCTCGATCTCCTGACCTCGTGATCCACCCACCTCATCCTCTCAAAGTGCTGGGATTACAGGCGTGAGCCACCATGCCCAGCCCCAAACTTCATAATTTCTAAAAAAAAAAAAAAAAAAAAAAAAAAGTGTGCTTAAAACAATCCACATTTCACTTTAAGTGTGATTTTTATTGCATCTAAGTTTCGATATGAATAACATTGTTCATTTCTAAATATGTCACAACTTCTGTGTTTTTTTTTTTAACAGTCACTCAAAAGTTATGCAGATTTTTGTTGTTGTTTTAAAAATGTGTGTTTTTTAAACGTTTAATTTTTGGTCTTTTATGTAATTTTTGCAGTCACGAAATATGGTTTCATTATATTAAATCTTTGGAATATTTTGAGACCTTCTTGGTGGATTAAGAAGTGGTCAATTTTTGTAGATTTTTCATATGTTCCTGAAAAGAATGTGGGTTCTCCATTGTTGCTGTTTTGTACATATAAATATAACAACACACCAATAATGAAAATAACAATTATGATAACAATCATTAATAATCAATATTAGGCCAGGCGCGGTGGCTCACACCTGTAATCCCAGTACTTTGGGAGGCCGAGGCGGGCGGATCACCTGAGGTCAGGAGTTCGAGACCAGCCTGGCCAGCATGGTGAATCCACGTCTCTACTAAAAATACAAAAATAGCTGGGCGTGGTGGCAGAGGCCTAGAAGCCCAGCTACTCAGGAGGCTGAGGCAGGAGAATCACTTGAACCTGGGAGGCAGAGGTTGCAGTGAGCCAAGATTGTGCCACTGCACTCCAGCCTGGGTGACAAGAGTGAAACTCCATGTCAAAAAATAAATAAGTAAATAATAATAATCAATATTAGAACCCTTAGTAATGTCAGGCTCAGTCTGACTACTTTTTTTTTATTTATTATTATACTTTAAGTTTTAGGGTACATGTGCACATTGTGCAGGTTAGTTACATATGTATACATGTGCCATGCTGGTGCACTGCACCCACTAACTCGTCATCTAGCATTAGGACTACTTTTTATTTTTAAGAAAGCATGCTTACTTTTGCCTTTCATTTTTCTATATTTTTAAAAAACTTTGTAAACATTTATGGGGTACAAGTGTAATTTTGTTGCATGTAAAGATTGCCCAGTGATGAAATCGGGACTTCCAGGTTATCCATTCCCCAAATAATGTGCATTGTACCCATTAAGTCATTTTCTTTTCTTTTCTTTCTTTCTTTTTTTTTTTTTTTGAGACAGAGTCTTGCTCTGTCGTCCAGGGTGGAGTACAATGGTGCAATCTTGGCTCACTGCAACCTCCATCTCCCGTGTTCAAGCAATTCTCCTGCCTCAGCCTCCTGAGTAGCTGGGATTGCAGGTGTACACCACCACACCTGGCTAATTTTTTGTATTTTTAGTAGAGACAGGGTTTCTCCACGTTGGCCAGGCTGGTCTCGAACTCCTGACCTCAGGTGATCTGCCCGCCTCGGCCTCCCAAAATGCTGGGATTACAAGCGTAAGCCACCACACCCGGCCCCCGTTCCTCATTCTTAGAAAGGGAATCATGGTCATTGTGGTTGACCTGTGGCCGTGTAATTCTGTCCAAATATCCCTGAATGGTAAATGTGAAAACAGTAGAATGAATTCCATTGAAAATAAGAAGAAATAAAGTCAGAACTCAAAAGTGTTTTTGAAGTGTTATTGGGATGGAACTTTTTTTTTTTTTTTTTTTTTTGAGACGGAGACTGCTCTGTCATTTAGGCTGGAGTGCAATGGTGCAATCTTGGCTCACTGCAACTTCTGCCTCCTGGGTTCAAGCGATTCTCCTGCTTCAGCCTCCTGAGTAGCTGGTATTACAGGTGCGCACCGTCATGCCTGGCTAATTTTTGTATTTTTAGTAGAGACGGGGTTTCACCATGTTGGCCAGGCTGGTCTCGAACTCCTGACCTCAGGTGATACGCCCACCTCGGCCTCCAAAAATGCTGGCATTACAGGCACGAGCCACTGCGCCCAGCCTATTTGTTATTATTTGATAATATTGATATTATCACCTATCAATTTATGATGACAAGTGCACATAACATAAGATCTATCTTAGCAAATTTGTAAGGGTACAAGGCAGTCTTGTTCCCTGCACACACTAAGCCGCACAGGAGACTGTAGGCCTTCCTCATCTTGCATGACTGAAACTCAAGAGGGAAAAATGAGGAGGTAACAGTCATAGGAAAGAGATCTTGATACCTTGCCTGTTCTTTCTAAGCCAATACCCTCAGCTCCTTAAAGGGGGCACTTTTATTTCATTTTATTTTTTCCCTCAGGTATAAATAATTTAATTTTTTTCAGTTATAAGGCTAACACATACTCAATTTAAAAATCCAAATAAAAACACCTCAAAAAATGAAGAGCCATTTAAACTCCCTTGACCTAATATTAATTGCTACAAACATCTTGATTAATATTTTCCTACAAATCTCTTATTACTAAATTACTCGATAGCCAGTTATTAAGTAATTTCAGTCTGAGTACCATTAACATAATTACTCACTGAATAATCACAACAGTTCCATGAGTTAGGCACCATTGCTTTTTTATTTTACAGAGGAAGAGGCAAAGAAATAGAGAGGTAAATAAACTTAGTTTAAAGTGAGAGAGCTTATAACTGGCACGACCAAAATTAAAATCTAGAGATCTGGCCTCTGGAATTGTACTAGATAAATCAAGTTATGCACTCATAACTTTCCCCATACTCCCTATATACTATGTCTATTCATTCATCATTCATTCAAAAATATTTATTATGTACTATGTGCTAGGGAGTGTTCCAGGTGCAGGGACACTACAGGAAACACTGCAGGAAAAAAATCTATGGTTTCATGGGGATACATTGTAGTGGGAAGGCAGATAGTCTACAATATTAATAAGTAAAATACGTGCACATATGCTGAAGATTAATGATATATGCTGAAGAAAGAAAAAAGGCAGCGAGAGGTGATACGAAATCTGGAGGGAGTGTTGCAACTTCAGACAGGATGGTCCAAGAAGGTCTGAAGGATAAGGAGATACTGGGGTTGACAGTGAAGGAGAGGGAGGGATGAGCCTTGTGCCTGTCTGGGTGAAGAGCATTCCAGTCGAGAATGGCATGTGGATGAGCCCTGAGGCAGATGCTTGCTTGATGTTTTTTTAGGAATAGCAAGGAGGTCACTGGGACTGCATCACAGTCAGTGAAAGGCAGAGTCGGAGGAGATGCTATCAAAGTACTAACCCAAGTTGGGAGACAGAAGACGCAGTCGTGTCAATATGACTGAGGCGGGAAGTCCTGGAAAGTTTCTGATCAGAAGAGTGGCACAGAGTGGCGAATGTTTTTATTGTATTGTGTTGTTATTTTACTACCCAATTGCATTTTATTATCAGCGTACCTTATTTTATGAAATTAGACCTGCATTTTGGAGGGAGAGTCTGATTTTCATGAAGGCATGTGGTATGCTTCTGACGATAACGCCAGCATTCCAGGTAAGCTGCCGTCGGCCCTACCTCCGGGACAGCTTGATGCAAGATGCTAATCAAATTAACTCCCTGAGCGTCACTGTTCTCATCTGTAAAACTGGCCTAATGATGAAAACATCTTCCCAAAGTTGTGAGAATTAAAGGAACTACCCATAAGGGATACTCGGAGCAGTGTCTGGCATAGAGCGAGAGCTCAGAAAGGTTATCTCTTCCTTTGATTGCCTTGTGCAATTCTGACTTCAGGAAGGTCTTACCGATATGTTTTAGACAAAAATATGATGATGCCACGCTTAGGCTCAAAACCTGTCCCACTCTCGTGAGGGTAAAATACCAAAACTCTACTTGGCCTTTTAGAGACTCCTGCTCAATCAATGTACATATTCTTCTTCATTATTTTTCCATCTGGAGTCCACTCGACTTACAACAGGCAAATTATCTCCTGATGGGGACTTTCACAGAAGCTGTCTCCTCTGTCCACGTCTCCCCCCAGCTGCTCTTCCTGTCGCCAGCTCGTCAGTCCTCAGCCCGGATTCCACTCCACACTGCAGGTGGCTTCCCTGGGGTCAGCTCTGAGGTTCTCTTGCTTTTCTTTTCTTTTTGTTTCCCTCCTTCCTTCCTTCTTTCCTTCCTTCCTTCCTTTCTTTCTCTCTCTCTCCCTCCCTTCCTTTCCTTCTTTCTCTCTTTCTCTTTCTTCCTTCCTTCCTTTCTTTCTCTCTCTCTCCCTCCCTTCCTTTCCTTCTTTCTCTCTTTCTCTTTCTTCCTTCCTTCCTTTCTTTCTCTCTCTCTCCCTCCCTTCCTTTCCTTCTTTCTCTCTTTCTCTTTCTTCCTTCCTTCCTTTCTTTCTCTCTCTCTCCCTCCCTTCCTTTCCTTCTTTCTCTCTTTCTCTTTCTTCCTTCCTTCCTTGCTTCCTTCCTTCCTTTCTCCCTCCCTTCCTTCCTTTCTTTCCTTTCTTTTTTCTCTCTCTCCCTCCCTTCCTTTGCTTCTTTCTCTCTCTCTTTCTCTTTCTTCCTTCCTTCCTTTCTCTCTTCCTTCCTTCCTTCCCCCGCTCCCTTCTCTTTCTTTCTTTCTCTCTCTCTCTTCTCTTTCTCCCTTCCTTTCCTTTCTTTCCTTCTCTCTTTCTCTCTCTCTCCCTTTCCTTCCTTCCTCCCTTCCTCCCTTTCTCTCTCTCTTCCTTCTCTTTCTTTCTTTCTTTCTTTCTTTCTCTCTCCTCTTTCTCTCTCTTTCTCTTTCTTTCTTTCTCTCTCTTTCTCTCTTTCTCTCTCTTTCTCTCTTTCTCTCTCTTTCTCTCTTTCTTTCTTTTTCTTTCTTTCTTTCTTGACAGAGTCTCGCTCTGTCACCCAGGATGGAGTGCAGTGGTGCCATCTCGGCTCACTGCAACCTCCGTCTTCTGGGTTCAAATGATTCTCCTGCCTCAGCCTCCTGAGTAGCTGGGGTTACAGGCGCTTGCCACCACGCCTGGCTAATTTTTGTATTTTTAGTAGAGACGGGGTTTCCCCATGTTGCCCAGGATGGTCTGGAACTTCTGACCTCAGGTGATCCACCCGCCTCGGCCTCCCAAAGTGCTGGGATTACAGGATTGAGCCACCATGACCGGCCCAAGTCCCCTTTTCACACAAGGTCATAGGATTTTTTTTTTTCCTCTGGAGCACTTACTACATCAGCAGATATGGCTCTCAGTGCAACAAAACTCACAGCTCTCTTACGTGGTGTAGAGTTGTCCCTGGAGGCAGCTGCCCCATGAGGGACCCTATCTTCATCCTTCTTGTACCCAGCTGTGGACTCCTGACTAATTCCCACCCTTGGAATGTGAGCAGCAGTGATAAGCGACATTCAGATTTTTTATTTAAAAGGCACGGATGAGCCCTTTCCATTCTCTCTTCCTCTTTCCCCTCACTGGTGACAGAGCACTCCAGGGTTCTAGGGGAGGTTGGATCCCAAAGGTGGAAGAATCTGGGCACCTGAGTCACCTGATGGAGGAGCTCCAACTGCCAACCGGGGGCCCCTATATGGACGTGTAACACAAGTGAGTAGTGACCATTCCATTGTGACAAACTGCAGATATTTCGAGGCTAATTTGTTAAAATCTACCGTTAATGTGCTTTATATGACTTTTTTTTTTTTTTTTAAGATGGAGTTTTGCTTTTGTCGCCCAGGCTGGAGTGCAATGGTGCAATCTCGGCTCACCACAACCTCTGCCTCCCGGTTCAAGCGATTCTCCTGCCTCAGCCTTTTGAGTAGCTGGGATTGTAGGCATGCACCACCAGGCCTGGCTACTTTTTTTGTATTTTTAGTAGAGATGGGGTTTCACCATGTTGGTGAGGCTGGTCTTGAACTCCTGACCTCAAGTGATCCTCCTGCCTCAGCCTCCCAAAGTGCTGGGATTACAGGTGTGAGCCACTGTGCCCGGCCTATATGACATTTGAATAGTCAGAGGTGTGCCCTCCACATTAGACTGTGAGGTCCGTTGACTTGCGTGGCTCGTCTCTGACACAGACTCAAGCCCTTAATAGCCGCCTGGAAATGTACGTTTTGGTTCACACAAAAAGGAAGTTGACCAAGCCCCCTTGATGAAGCCTCACTGGGGAGGTGGCCCATCGAAGGTCGTATATTGTGAATGGGGCGAAGGCAGCGTCGCCGTCTCCTTCAAGTCTGACCTCCAGGTTGGTGTTCAGATTCCCCCTCCACACCCCACAGCCGTGGTTGCCCATCTGGATTTGGTGTTTCGGTCAGAGATGACGTTCGGGCCAGTCGTATGGATGATGATGTCCAAGGAGACAGTTCTCTCCTTTACCCCAGTCACAGGAAGGAAGAACTAAGCCTCATGGTGCCTTCCTGGGAGATACGTGGTAAGAAGCCACAAGACGGTCGGGACTGAGTCTCTGCGCACCGCATCCCGAGCCTCTGCCATCTGCACAGCGAGGCGGGCGCAGGCAGCACGGTGCCCCTTACCATGCTTTCTTCCTGGACTTTCCCTTGACCAGTCTTGGCATGGCAGGCGAGGGAATGAGGGATTGGGGCTGGGAGGCGGGGAAGACAGCTCTCTCCCTGGGCCCATGTCTGGTTAGATCAATGCTGTGGGAGCTTAGCGACTGAAGAGGGAGCAGAGATGATGGCAGGAAGGCATTATCTGCCCAAGCCTCAGGCTTCGCAGTCCAGGTTGGGACCAAGAGCTTGCAGACGTCATCGAGTGCAGATTTTGAGCGAAGTACTGAGCATTGTAAATCCAGATTTCTCTTCCAGAGCTGAGTCTGGGCCACAGGACCTGGACACAGGAGGGTCAGTCTCTCCGGTAATGGTGAGGGTCTGTCTTCTTGGAGCAGCACAGCGGACTCCCACCAGGACAGTGGATGCTGGATACCGAAGGGCTGGGCTCAGGACAGTGGATGCTGGGTACGGAAGGGCTGGGATGAGGACAGTGGATGCTGGGTACCAAAGGGCTGGGCTCAGGACAGTGGATGCTGGGTACTGAAGGGCTGGGCTCAGGACAGTGGATGCTGGGTATGGAAGGGCTGGGCTCAGGACAGTGGATGCTGGGTACCGAAGGGCTGGGCTGAGGGGGTCACTTTGGCAGTGGTTCTGGAGTCTGAATTTCTAAGGGCCTGGAACTCATGAGACTCTAGATGCTGATTCTTTTCTGGAGAACTTCTCCAGAGTCACCATCCTGGCTTGTGCAGACTCAACATTCCACCTGAAGAGCTCTGGGAACCTCTGGGGCTGAGAGCCTTCTGGGCCTGATGAGTTCTGTTGGGATGGAGAAGA
This sequence comes from Homo sapiens, assembly GCF_000001405.40. Taxonomy (NCBI): domain Eukaryota; kingdom Metazoa; phylum Chordata; class Mammalia; order Primates; family Hominidae; genus Homo; species Homo sapiens. The sequence goes on from NW_003571060.1 coordinate 398,329, forward strand.
TGATCTTGAAGTTAAAGATTTCAGTGGGAGTCCAGGAAAACGTCGCAGCTGTCCATCATACCCACAACAGCAAACGACTCAGGACTTTGTCACGGCCACCGCGGCAGCCAAAACCACAGCTGTGATCTGGGGCCGGACTCATACCCAGAGGTTGTCTGGGTTCAGGTTCTGCAACCCCGGTTCAGAGAAAGAGGAAACGGAGTGGGCCGTGTGGACCCCGTCCTTCATCGAACTCCAGAACTAAGAGAACTGGGAGGGGAGAAGGCCGTCACCCTTGCATGGAGCTGCCTCCCTCAGTTCTAGTGGTTTCTACAACTCCATGCAGGTTAGCTAAGGTGTGCATGGGTTCCAGAAGGAACATGGAGATGTTTCTCTTTGATGTTACTTGAAACTTTCGTTTGGCAAGTTCCTTCTAAGATCAGGAGATTCAATCACCCCACATGGTCCATCAGTCAGGGTATCACAACGTCGTGCTCCTTGGCTATACAGTCTCAGGTACATTTCTTCTTGAGATTATTTTTCACGTGAGGCAGAGATGTGTGGCTGCTCACCAGAAAAAAAGAATTCTCTACTTCCTCTTACAGTGCAAGCATTTGAATCTCTGGGAGGTGGCTACCCTCACCAAGGGACTTTTTTCCTAGTCTCCTTTGCATCCATGTGTGACTGACCATAATGACTACTTATAGCCAAAAATCTGGACAGAAATGATGTGCGTCAATCAATTTTGCAAGTTTACAAATATTTTCTGTGTCTCCTCTTTCTGTTTGAAGTATGGGACGCCATTGCCCAAGGGGATGATGTGAGCACAATGGAAGAAGCGGATGTCCCTGAGTCATCCTGGGGAGAAAATTCAAATTCTGCCCAGAGAAACCCTCATTGGTCATTTACATGAGTGAGATGCCAAACCTCACTGTGTTAAGCCATCGGTAATTTTTCTTTTTTGAGATGGAGTCTCGCACTGTCGCCCAGGCTGGAGTGCAGTGGCGAGATCTCGGCTCACTGCAAGCTCTGCCTCCGAGGTTCAAGCGATTCTCCTGCCTCAGCCTCCTGAGTAGCTGGGACTACAGGCACCCACTATCACGCCTGGCTAATTTTTTGCATTTTTAGTAGAGATGGGGTTTCACTGTGTTAGCCAGGATGGTCTCGATCTCCTGACTTCGTGATCCGCCTGCCTCGGCCTCCCAAAGTGCTGGGATTACAGGCGTGAACCACCGCGCCCGGCCAGTATTTTAAGACTTACTTATAACGGTGGTTAGTGTCACCCTAACTCTTACCTCACAATAGTAGCTAAACAATTTGTGATTTGCTCTTTGATCCTGTCCCTATCATCATTAGACTCAAGCTCTGTTGAGGGCAGGGGCTGCATCTGTTTTGTTCACTCCTGAATCTCAAACACCAAGCAGATAATAAGCAATTGATAAATATTGGTTGATCGGCTTCTGAAGAAAGAAAATTCACACATTTATATTTAGAAAAATTTATAAGGGAAGTAGCCGAGTGGGGTGGCTCACGCCTGTCATCCCAGCATTTTGGGAGGTTGAGGTGGGTGGATCACCTGAGGTCAGGAATTCAAGACTAGCGTGGCTGACGTGGGGAAACCCCGTCTCTACTAAAAATAGAAAAATTAGCTGGTCGTGGTGGCGTGTGCCTGTAATCCCAGCTACTCAGGAGGCTGAGGCAGAAGAATCGCTTGAACCTGGGAGGCAGAGGTTGCAGTGAGCTGAGATGGTGCCATTGCACTCTAGCCTGGGTGACAAGAGCGAGACTCTGTCTCAAAAAAAAAGAAGAGAGAAGTTTATAGGTGAAGTGGCTTGTCCGAGGTCTCTGAGGCTGTGGGACAGGAAGTCACAGGAGAAGCTCATTCTGGCTGACTTCCCAGCTGGTGTTCTGCACCTCTATCAGTATCTTAGGAACCAAGTTACCACGACACACCTATTAGAGTGGCCAAATTCTAAAACATGGACAATACCACATACTGGCATACTGGTGAGGATGTGGAGCAACAGGAACTCTCATTGCTGGTGGGATTGCCAAATGGTACAGTCACTTTGGGAGACAGTGCGGCAATTTCTTCTAAAACTAAATGTAGCTTTGCCATGTAATCCAGCAATTGCATTCCTTGGTATTTACCCAAGGAAGTTTGAAATGTATGTTCACATAAAGTCTGCATATGAATCTTTACAGTAGCTTTATTCATAATCGCCCAAACTTGGAAGCAACCAAGATGCCCTTCAGTAAGTGAGTGGATTAACTATGTGTCGAGACAATGGAATATTATCCCATGCTAAGAAGATACAAGCTCTCAAGTCATGAAAAGACGTGGAGGAGAGTTCAACGTATATCACTACACGAAATAAGCCTGCCCAAATGGCGTATCCACTGTCTGATTCCAACTATGTGACATTCTGGAAGATGCAAAACTATAGAAAGAGTGTAAAGTTCATTGGTTGCCAGAATAAAAGGCTTGGGCAAGAGGAAATCATCCCAGTGGAAATGGAGAAACGCAGGAACAAATGAAGAGCAACAGAAGAAGCTAAATATTTGGGTAAAGATAGGAATTTTGAATGATGATTTCATCATTAATGAATTAAGGAAACATTGATGCATGCTCATTCTGTATTTGATGACATTGCAAACAGTGTTTTGAAAACTATACTTTGCACTAAAATTAAAATTGAGCGCCTGTAATCCCAGCACTTTGGGAGGCCAAGGCAGGTGAATCACCTGAGGTCAGGAGTTCGAGACCAGCCTGGTCAACATGGCGAAACCCCGTCTCTGCTAGAAATACAAAAATTGGCTGGGTGTGGTGGTGGGTGCCTGTTATCCCAGCTATTCAGGAGGCTGAAGCAGGAGAATCACTTGAACTGTGGAGGCAGAGGTTGCAGTGAGCCGAGATGGTGCCACTGCCCTCTAGCCTGGGTGACAGAGTGAGAGTCTGTCTCAACAACAGCAACAACAACAACAAAATGACAGCATGGCTCAAGTGTGTTGGCTCACGCCTGTAATCCTAGCACTTTGGGAGGACAAGGTGGGTGAGCTTGAGCTCAGGAGTTTGAGACCAGCCTGGGCAACAAGACAAAACCCCATCTCTATCAAACAAAACAAAACAAAACAAAACAAAACAACAACTTGCGGAGTGTGGTGGTGTGTGCTTGTGGTCCCAGCTACTCAGGAGGCTGAGGTGGGAGGATCTCTGGACCCCAGGAAGTGGAGGCTGCAGTGAGCTGAGATTGTGCTAATGCACTCCAGCCTGGGTGACGGAGCGAGACCCTGTCTCAAATAAATGAATGAATGAATAAATAAATAAATCTTAAAGATGACAGCCTACATATATATACACACACATGCCAAACTGATACATCGATGAGATAACACTGTATATACAAAAGTGCAAGGGAAATTTGTTTTTTTTGAGACAGAGTCTCACTCTGTCGCCCAGACTGGAGTGCAATGGCGCAATCTCGGCTCACTGCAACCTCCACCTCCTGGGTTCATGCCATTCTCCTGCCTCAGCCTCCCGAGTAGTTGTTACTACAGGCGCCCGCCACCACACCCAGCTAATTTTCTGTATTTTTAGTAGAGATGGGGTTTCACTGTGTTAGCCAGGGTGGTCTTGATCTCCTGACCTTGTGATCCGCCCACTTCGGCCTCCCAAAGTGCTGGGATTACAGGCGTGAGCCACCGTGCCCGGCCGTGCAAGGGAAATTTGAATATAAGACTTCAGATGCTGGTTACGGTACCTGAGGTAGGAGGGGGAAACAGGCTGGAGTATACACTACAGAGATAGTCATGCTTCATCAAGCCTCTGATTTCCCTGGAGCATGTTGACTTCACGTTGATTTTTTTTTTTACATGTTCTGTTAAAAAAATTTCTTTAAATTGGCCTTTGGAAATTTACCAGCAGTGTGCTGGTAAAGTCTTGACAATCAGCTCTCTGAAAAAAAAAGCAAAAAGAAAAACAAAAAACAACCCCGACGTGTAGCATTTGCCGATTTCTCTGGTGTAAATACTCACAGCATGGCTTTGACATGAGTTTTACATTTGGTAAAAGCAAATTGTGCCTAATTTGAATAGAAGGATTGGGACAGAGATATGGTTCTTGTCAGGCACTAATTAGGGAGTAAGGCTTGTCTAATATTGCCTTGGCTCTCAAGCAAAATAAAAAAGTAACATTTGGGAATCTGTGTTGCTTCCTCAGCCCATCCTGGGTAAAATCGGAGACGTATACAGGGCAGGGAGAAGCTGTTTATTTCCATGCCTGCGGTTGGAGCTTCTTAAGGATTTGAGCTGTGATGCTGGCACCTGGCAGACCACATCCTGTGCGGTTTTCAGTTTTGCTCTGTTCCTGACCCTGGTATAGCAGAAGCTTTTTCACATCTATGACACCCGCTATGTCTTGGTAAACCCTGGAAGGGAAAGGAGGACAAGGTTAAAATACTGTTCCGAGGACCTGGTCTCTCCACAGCGCAGGCTGGAGGTGGCAGCCCATGGAAAGCCAAGTTCATCCACCATCGGAGCCCAGGCCAGGCTGCCAAGGCTAATATTCAGGACAAAGCCAGGCACAGGTCGGGAATCCTATGAAGATGATCATCGTCCTGAGGTCTTCCTTCCAGGGTTGCATCCGGGCCAGAAGATGGAAAGAGAAATGGGTGAGTCCCTGCTACCACACCACCCTCAGGTTGCTTTTTTGGCTGAACAAGAAGGGTCCTCCCAGGCAGGAAGGGTGGGGCACAGAAACGTGAGCCAATGTGGATGACTTGGGGAGGGCTTTGCAGTTGAATCTCCTGAAAACAGCAAGAAGTACAGACCTCCAGGCATTCTAGACTCAGATTCTGTAGACGCTTCCCTTTGGCCGAGCCAAGCCAGGGTTGCTCAGGAACTGGGGTCCTTGAGATTGGATTAGATTGGACGGAACGACACAGGATTGCAACGTGCAGAACTGTGAGGACTGGGGTTTTGCTTGAGTTCCCCAGTCTGTCCACGAGGTCCAAGCTTGAGATCATTACGGCGACCACATCTCAGGAGGAAGATAGGTCAGCAATGCAGTGATGGTGCTGGAATAGTTTTGAAATATTTGAACTATTCTAATGCAAACTCTTCTTTTAATGACATTTCACGTTGCATCTTATGTCATTTTATTTATGTAGATGTTGTCTTTCCACTTGACATTTAATTGGTGTTTAATTTAAGTTGCAAATATTGTGTATGTATCTGAGTCTAGTGTGAGAATCATTACTCTATGCCTGTGCATCCCACATCAAGTAACTTTTTTTTCTTTTTTTTTTTTAAGATGGAGTCTCGCTCTGTTGTCCAGGCTGGAGTGCAGTGGCATGATCTCGGCTCACTGCAAGCTCCGTCTCCTGGGTTCAAGCCATTCTCCTGCCTCAGCCTCCTGAGTAGCTGAGATTATAGGTGCCCGCCACCAAGCCCGGGTAATTTTTGTATTTTTAGTAGATAGGGGGTTTCATCATGTTGGCCAGGCTGGTCTTGAACTCCTGACCTCGTGATCCGCCCACCTTGGCCTCCCGAAGTGCTGGGATTACAGGTGTGAGCCACTGAGCCCCGTCCAAGTAATGTTTTTGAATGAGTAAGCTGTGCTGTGCTGAATCTGTAGCATGCCTTGGACATAGACCTTCTCCAGCTGGGATTGAAGTCTTAGAGGAATGCAAAGGTGGAGGGGCCCTTTGAGAATATGGAACGACGACAGCTCTGTATCACCCCTTTTATGGAAAAACCCAGAATAACTGCCCATGTGTTCTGTGACCTTTGATGTTGATTCTGTCAGCAGGAGGAATCATCTGAGTAGTGAGGAAAATCTTGGATATGTTGGTGGTTTCACAGCTGTCAGAATTCACTGAATGGCACAGATTCAAAGAAGGCAGTTTGTCTGCCAAGGATTCCTTGATAAAGCTGATTAAAAATCGCTAATGAAGACCTAAAGTGAAAAGAGGCAGGGAGGAGAATCTAATACATAGAAACCATTCTACACATGAAAGAAGAGTCAGAAGCAGGAAGGTCATTCTCAGGAGCCGCTGTGTTTTGGCCTCGTGTTCAATGCTAAGTTTCAAAACAAATGTAGTATTCCTTGCAACCACGAGAAGTTGGTGAGTGATTTGAAATCATTCTTATGATGAGGCGGAAGCTTTTGGAATCTGTTCTGTACCCCTGCACTTTATCCTTGTCCTCATGATTTACAAAACCATGAAAATAAAGCTCAGTTAATTCATCATCATCAAGGTGAGCACCAGGTTCAGTATTCAGCTTGAGGCTGGGGACTCCATCTTTCTTTAACTTTTGACTGAATAGCCTTCACTTAGTTTTTATATCTCTTAGGCATTAAAAAAATTAAAAAAAAATATATATATATTTTGAGACGGAGTCTAGCTCTGTCGCCCAGGCTGGAGTGCAGTGGCATGATCTCGGCTCACTGCAACCTCCGCCTCCCGGGTTCCCACCATTCTCTCGCCTCAGCCTCCCGAGTAGCTGGGACTACAGGCGCCCGCCACCACGCCCGGCTAAATTTTTTTGTATTTTTAGTAGGGACGGGGTTTCACCGTGTTAGCCAGGATGGTCTCGATCTCCTTGCCTCGTGATCCGCCCACCTCAGCCTCCCAAAGTGCTGGGATTACAGGCGTGAACCACCTCGCCTGGCCTAAAAAAGTCTTTAATATATTATATTAAGCAGTTTTAATTGGTTTATTGTTATTTTTTGGATGGATTGCTGTCTTATGGACTTAGTCTAACATATTCACAGAAAGTTGGATTAGATTGGAAGAACATACCTGGGACTGCATTGCGCAGAACTCTTTGAGGGCCAGGGTTTAGCTTGAGTTCCCCTGTCCGTCCATGAGATCCCAGCTTGAGATCATTACAGCCACCATGTCTCGGGAGGAGGACTAGTCTGCAATGCAGTGATTATGATGGAATGTTTCAATGTTTTTGAAATGTTTGGACTATTCTGATGCAAAAAACTTTCTTTTTATTTTTGAGACAGAGTCTCACTGTGTCGCCTAGGGTGGTTTTTTTTTTCTTTTTTGAAACCCTCTGTTATTAAGAGATAAATATGATTCCCAGGAACATTGCTCTGTTCTGCTTTATTATTATTGGTCATATCTGGTCATACGCCCTGAAAACCCTGAAAATGGGATTGCTAAAATCGCCTTAATCTAAACTCCATTTCCCTCCCACTTGCTCCCTGGGCTTGGAGCACAACCACTCAAACAGAACTGGCTTTTGGTCAGTAAGGAAGAAGTGAGCAACGGCTGCGGTGTAGACCCTCGTCAATGCCTGCGACGGTTACACCTGGAGACAAGCTCCCCAGTGTCCTCAGGAGCAGCGGAGATGAGAATCCATGATAGGGTGGGCTCTGTCCCCCTCAGCTCCGTGATGCCGAAATGCACTGCTGGTCCTGGTCCTGCTCCTCATTCCACACCCGGCTGAGTGCCCATCTGACCCCAGACCTCAACGCGAGGTTCTAAGCACTGTCTCCTGACCCTTCAACCCCTTCGGGATTTTGCATGTGCTGTTGGACCACCTCACTCCCACCTGGAGCCAAATGACACTGTAGGAGGAGGGGAAGAGAACTTATGCTAGTAGAGTGTGTGTGTGTGTGTGTGTGTGTGTGTGAATGTGTGTGTGTATTATACATAATATATATAATTACAACATTGTTAATGGGGCCGGGCGCGGTGGCTCACACCTGTAATCACAGCACTTTGGGAGGCTGAGACGGGCAGATCACATGAGGTCAGGAGTTCAAGACCAGCCTGGCCAACATGGTGAAACCCCGTCTCTACTAAAATACAAAAATTAGCCGGGCATGGTGGCGTGCGCCTGTAGTCCCGGCTACTCAGCAGGCTGAGGCAAGAGAATTGCTTGAGCCTGGGAGGCGGAGGTTGCAGTGAGCCAAGATTGCACCACTGCACTCCAGCCTGGGCAACAGAGTACGACTCCATCTCCACACACACATACACACACACACACACACACACAAATTGTTAATTGTATATGTATAATTATAATAGTTTATATATATTAACAATTATATATAAACTTGCATATATATAGTATTTGCTGTATTATTATATATAAACAATTATATATGTAATGACTGTATAAAATAGATAAACAATTTTAACTAATAATATTATATTAATTATATTATTATTAGATGTAATAATTATAATTATTTATATATAATATTTATTATTATGTATCATTGTTAGAACACTTAACGTGAGCTCTGTCCTCTTAACAAATTTCAAGTGAACAAGACGTTATTGCTGACGATGGGTCGTATGTGGTGCAGCAGATCTCTAGGCCTGTTTGTTAATAACTCCCCATTTCCCCCTCCTCCCAGCCCCCGTAACCACCATTCCCTGCTGTGATGTTGTGACTCTGGTGACTTTGCAGATCTCCTGTAAGTGACATCATGCAGTACTTGGTCTCTGCCTCTGCGTCGCTTGGCGTGATGTCCTCAGGTTTCGTCCGTGTTGTCGCCCATGGCAGAATTTTCTTCCTTGTTTAAGGCTGAATAGTATTCCCCTGTGTGTGCACCACATTTTCTATATCAATTCTTCTATCAATGGACATTTAGATGATTTTCACGTCTTAGCTATTGCGAATAGTGCTGCAGTGATCAGGGGAGTTCAGACGGCTCTTTGCATACTGAATTTGTTTCTTTTAAATATAGACCCAGAAGTGGCATTGTTGGACCATACGGTAGCTCTATGTTTAGTTTTTTGAGGAACCTCCCCACTGTTCTCTATAGTGAGTGCACAATTTTTCAGCCTCCCAAAGTGCTGGGATCACAGGCGTGAGCCACCGCGCCCGGCGCACTGTAGGATCTTTTTTAATGCATTATATACCTTGCTGAGATTTTAGCAGAGATCACAATATTAAAAACTTGGGGAAGGATTTCTATGACTCTTATTTTAAATACGAGGACATGTCGACTTCTAGTTTTGTAACATCTTGCCCAAGAGCGGTGGTCGTTAACGTGTGGAGTTGGGATGACATCCAAGTCAGTTGGTTGCACGACCTTTATTCTGTCTTGTCCCATAGATTTAGAAAGAGGCTGACACATCGGGTAACTAGTTTAAGGTCATCTGATCATGCGGGTAAGCGACATTTTTCAGAAACCAAGGCCCTCCCTCTCATCTCACTAGTGGGAAGGGTGGAAAGAACAGAACAGAAAGCTCTCCCTCTTGTGTGAGGCAGTTGCTGTGGAAACCCCACGGGCAGGAGGCCCCCGGCCAGCACATCCTGTCTGCTTGTGTCTGCTGCAGAGTTCTGGGACCGGGGCCATGTCTCCACACCTCACTGCTCTCCTGGGCCTAGGTGTGTCCTGGAGGGAGCGGGAAGGACTGGAAAGGGGGTCGGGAGGTCTGGAAAGTTCCCTGCTCAAGCCTGACTCTAGTCCAGAAGATTCTGGGGAGGAAAGTGTCCTCCTCCCCCCAAGACTGCCCTACTGCTCTCCCTGGGGCCTAAGTCTGATCAGAGACAACCTTGTCCTAAAAACAGGGGCCCGGGTGTGGGGATGAGGTCAGCTTTAAGAAGGGCTGGGGGGCCAGGCGCGGTGCTCACACCTGTAATCCTAGCACTTTGGGAGGCTGAGGCAGGTGGATCACCTGAGGTCAGGAGTTTGAGACCAGCCTGGCCAACGTGGTGAAACTCCATCTCTACTAATACAAAAATTAGCCGGGCATGGTGGCGGGCACCTGTAATCCCAGCTACTCGGGAGGCTGAGGCAGGAGAATTGCTTGAACCCGGGAGGTGGAGGTTGCAGTGAGCTAAGATCGCGCCACTGCACTCTAGCGTGGGCGACAAGAACAAAACTCCGTCTCCAACAACAACACCAAAAAGAAGGGCTGGGGGAGCAGGAGCCTTTTTGGAAGAGGAGACTTTGGGATTTATCTTGAAACCATTTTGCAGCAAGAAGGATTACATGGAGACAGTGATGTCGAGGAGGGTTGGCTTGGTCGTTATGAAATGCTGAATGCCCCCCAGCTCCGTCAAGCCCCCTTTTGACAGCAGCCCTGTAAGGAGACTGGGCAGTGGGCATTTTTCTCACTGGGGCTTCTCTTCCAGTGCTCTGCCTGGCCCAGACCATCCACACGCAGGAGGGTAAGTCATGCCTTCGTCCCGTCTTCCCAGTCCCCTCTGTCACCCCAAAGGCAGTGCTGGGTGGGAGTGATGTTGATTCTTAGAGGGCCTGGAGAGATCCCTTTAAATATACCCTAGATTGCAAACTATTCCAAATGTAAAATGCATAACCCTCACCCCTTTCTCTCCTTCATTCTCCACCTGTCATGTTTTGCTTTTCTTATTTTCAAAAATCCTATATTTTATTTTATTTTTATTTTTGAGATGGAGTCTCACTCCATCACCCAGGCTAGAATGCAGTGGCATAATCTCGGCTCACTGCAACCTCTGCTCCCAGTTTCAAGCGATTCTCCTGCCTCGGCCTCCTGAGTAGCTGGGATTACAGGCACCCACCACCACCCCTGGCTAATTTTTTTTTTTTTGTATTTTTAGAAGAGATGGGGTTTCACCATATTGGCCAGGCTGGTCTCGAACTCCTTACCTTATGATCCGCCCGCCTCAGCCTCCCACAGTGCTGGGATTACAGGCATGAGCCACTGTGCCCAGCCAAAAATCTTATTTTTAATCGACAAATAATTGTATATGTTTGTGGGGCACGATGTGATGTTACAACGTATGTAAACATTGTGGAAAGATTAAATAAGGCTAAATAACATATCAATCACATCACATACTTATTGTGATGAGAACATTTAAAACCTACTTTTAGCAATTTTGAAATATATAATAAGTTATTATTAACTATAGTCAGCCTGCTATGCAATAGATCTCAAAAACTTACTCCTCCTGTTTAACCGAAACTTTGTACCATTTGATCAGTGTCTCTCCCAAGCCCCCCATTTCCCGACTTTAATAGCATCATTCTAATCTCTAACTCTGTGAGATGACCTTTTTTGTTTGTTTGTTTGTTTTGGGATGGAGTCTCACTCTGTCACCCAGGCTGGAGTGCAATGGCACAATCTCGGTTCACCGCAAACTCAACTTCTCAAGTTCAAGCGATTCTCCTGCCTCAGCCTCTCGAGTAGCTGGGATTACAGGTGCATGCCACCACGCCCAGCTAATTTTTGTGTTTTTAGTAGAGATGGGGTTTCACCATGTTGGCCAGGCTGGTCTTGAACTCCTGACCTCAGGTGATCCACCCACCTCGGCCACACAAAGTGCTGGGATTACAGGTATGAGCCACTGCACCCGGCCGAGATGAACTTTTTTAGATTCCACATGCGGTATTTGTCTTTCTGTACCCAGCTTATTTCACTTAGCATAATGTCCTCTGGTTCATCCATGCTGTTGTGAATGACAGAATGTCCTTCCTTTTTTAGGGCTGAATAATATTCCATTGCATATACACACCACATTCTCCTCATCCATTCATTTGGTGGTGGTTATATAACTCAGGTTATTTCCAGGTCTTGGCAGCTGTGAGTAGCGCTGCGGTCACCCTGGGAGTGCAGGCATCACCTCCACACACCGATTTCCACAATGAGAATTCAAACCCAACACAACCAAGGCTGAACCCGGCACTTTTCCCCAGACGAGCCCACACTTCACTCGGCAGCTTCTTGGCGGGGAACGTGACAGTCACAAAGGGCAGACTCTGAACACTCATCCTCTTCTCCATCCTCCTGGATGCACCATGTCACCCAGTCCTGGTGATTTCACTCTAAATTTTTCTCATCTTTCCCTCTCTCTTCATCGACTTTTCCTGCATCACCCCCAGGTGACAGCCCTTCTCCCCTCCGTGGCTCCCCGAGGCCGGCCTCAGCCTGTCCATGCCACTGCTGCCTGCTCCCTTCCTGACCCCAGGGACTGGCGATTTGCAAAAGCACAACCATGACCATTGTACTTTCCACAGTTTTTAAATTGCATTCAAAAATTTTCATTTAATATCTCATCGTAAGATGAAGTTTTTTTCTTAGAGCCCTTCCCCTGTTTATCTTCAGATAGAATCAACCCAGGCACCTCTCTTTGTTCTGGACATGCCCATTTTCCCAGCCACATCCTGTCCCTGTGACCTGGGGCTCACTCATCTCTACATTCCTCCAGGTTCTTTCGCTTTCTCAAACACTCCATATGCCGCTCAACATGGTGGTTCTTCTCACATGCTGATTTTTTTTTTTTTTTTTTGAGATGGTGTTTCATTCTTGTTGCCCAGGCTGGAGTGCAATGGCTCGGTCTTGGCTTACTGCAACCTCTGCCTCCCTGGTTGAAGCAATTCTCCCTGCCTCAACCTCCCAGGTAGCTAGGATTACAGGTGCCTGCCACCATGCCTGGCTGATGTTTTTGTATTTTTAGTAGAGACGGGGATTCACCATGTTGATCAGGCTGGTCTCGAACTCCTGACCTCAGGTGAGCCGCCCACCTCGGCCTCCCAAAGTACTGGGATTACAGGTGTGAGACACCGCGCCTGGTCTGATTTTTAAAAGTTAATTAATTCAGTTTAAAATTGACCGATGAAAATTGCATGTATTTGTCATGTCCAATATGACGTTGTGGACTCTGCACACAGCGAGGAATGGCTACATCGAGCTAGGCAACGTAGGCATTCCTCCTGTGCGAATCATTTTTTTGTGGTGAGAACGCTTAGAATCACCTGGATTAGCAATGTCCAATAATGTAATACATTGTTATTAACTGTAGTCACCGTGTTGTACATGATGATTCTTGAATTGATTTCTCCTCTCTAACTAAAACCTTGTTTCCTTTGAGGAATTTTCCCACTTTGAGTGCCCTGGTGTCCCCTGTCTGCTCAGCTCAGGGAGTTTCTACTCCTCCCTCAGCTCTCAGCTCAGAGAGAGCTTCCCCTGACTTTGCAGAGGAGGTCAGCTCCACCGCCCACCTGTCCCCTAGATCCCTGCACACTTACCCACAGGAAACTTATTGCAGTTCGCAGCTGCAGATTTGGACAATTCTTCGATCAATATCTGTCCTCCCTTCTAGACGTCCACCTCCAAAGGGCAGGCATCCTGTATGTGTTTCTCACATTTGCGGAATTAGCAGCTCATGAAAAGCGTCTTTAAACAGATTGATAAGTAACTGAGATATGGTTAAAAGAAAGAAAAATGAACAAATGGGTGGGTTTGGGGAGATGCTGGTCAAAGGATAGAAAATTTCGTCTAGACAGGGAGAGTAAGTTCAGGATTGTGTAACATAATGACTAGAGTTAATCACAATATATCATACGCTTGAAAATCGCTAAGAGGGCAGATTTTAAATGTTCTCACCACAACAATTAACTACGCAAAGTGAGGTTATATTAATTAGCTTGATTCAGCGATTCCACAGTGTATACCTGTATCAAAACATCATGTTGTACACCTTAAATACATGCAGTTTTAATTTGTCAATAATAAGGAATGAATGAAGACGGGACGAGTGAATTGAAGCCCTGCCAGCTCTCTGCCCCGCTCAGGGATTTTGCTAATTTTGACACAACCTTCCTGTTTCAGGGCGTCAAACCCGCCCTTCCTCCCCCACCCCAAGCCCAGTTGAGATAAATGGGGTTTTTCAAGAGCCTTAATAAGAAGGAAATGCAAATTAGGCTGAGAAGAAAGTAGAAACTATAGAGGAAAACCCAGAGGTGGTGTCTCCACAGAGATCTGCATTAGCAATGGGGACCTGTCACGGGCTGGGCATCTGCTGTGAGCAGATCAGGGCTGGGGGCTTCACCCTCACCCCACCAGACCCTCAAAGGAGCCTGGCAACCCCCGTCCCACACTCAGTCCCACCCGGGGACCGGCCAGTGCCCTTCAGGCCCCAGCACGAGCCATCTCCAGAGCCCTCGCTTCCCTGTCCCTTGTCCTTCACCAATGACCCTGTCATCCCCATCCTGTGCCTCCCTCCCACCCTCTGTCCCTCTGGAAAGTGGCCCTGGGCTCTGCAGCAGGCATGAAGGGCTCCAGGCTGCTCCGACACTTCCCACGTGACCCTGAGCAAGGCCCAAGTTGTGAGCAAGTCTCAGGGTCCTCACTGTCAACTGGGAAAAAACTCTGCAGTGATGAGAATCACATGCACGTAGAAGGTGCAGGAGGCGTGGGAATGTTCTAAGGTTGGGCTGTGGTCATGGCTGCATAACTCTATAAAATTGCTAAAATCCCTGAATTGTGATCCTAAAATGACGTGTGTGGCATGGTGACTTCCTACAGTGGACGCTGAGATCCTTCTTTGCTTCCCTCTTAGGGGCCCTTCCCAGACCCTCCATCTCGGCTGAGCCAGGCACTGTGATCTCCCCGGGGAGCCATGTGACTTTCATGTGCCGGGGCCCGGTTGGGGTTCAAACATTCCGCCTGGAGAGGGAGGATAGAGCCAAGTACAAAGATAGTTATAATGTGTTTCGACTTGGTCCATCTGAGTCAGAGGCCAGATTCCACATTGACTCAGTAAGTGAAGGAAATGCCGGGCTTTATCGCTGCCTCTATTATAAGCCCCCTGGATGGTCTGAGCACAGTGACTTCCTGGAGCTGCTGGTGAAAGGTGAGGACGTCACCTGGGCCCTGCCCCAGTCTCAGCTCGACCCTCGAGCTTGTCCCGAGGTCCCTGGACCCTGTCCCGGCTGCTGTCCTCTCTCTGTGGCCACCGTTGCCCTCTTCCTGACCCCAAGCCCTCCCCTCCCCTTCTTCCTCTGCACACACCTCCCCTCTGCCCTCACACCTGCTTAGGTCCCTGGAGCCCTGATCTCCTCTGGACGCCACAGATGGCGTGGACACTCAGTCCCAGCATTGGGTTGGCTCAGAGCTGGCTCTGCTTGGCTGGGTGGGGAGTGGGTTCCCAGAGATTAGGGGGCAACCCCCCTACAAGGGGATGAGTGTCTTTTCACACAGGATTGATGGTCCCATTTGTTATTCCTTTCCACTGAGCCAGAACCTGCCCCAGGCAATGTGCTTCTCCTGGTGTGGTTCATCTCCCACTGGGCAGAACACAGGGTCCAGGGATGGCCCCTGACCAGGGCGGGACAGTGCTTTGGGAAAACCTTTGGTATGTGACCACATGCACTCCTGTGTGTGCTCAGCCCGAGATGTCCTGGAGTCAAAGTCCACTGGAGAGGATCCAACCCATCTTCATGTCCCCCCAGGACCTCAGCAGTCCCCTGAGGTCAAGAAGAGCTTGTGGTGGGAGGAGCAGAGGGAGTGACCAGCCCCAGGGAGAATGGGGCAAGCAGCGGGGCTCTCCCCAGCCTCCTGTCCCCTGCCCCGTTTTCTCAGGAGTCTCGAGACATTGTCTGGGATTGCGTGATGGTCATGCGGCCTTTGGATGGGGGCTCAGGGTGGAGGAGGGCAGGTTGGTTGGGACGGGTTCTAAATCCTTCTCCTGCTCCTGTTTACAGAAAGCTCTGGAGGCCCGGACTCCCCGGACACAGAGCCCGGCTCCTCAGCTGGTCAGTAGCAGGGCCCTCAGCTGGAGGGGATTACAGGGGAATCTGTGCTGCGGATGCTGTTCCGGGTCCAGCCCTCTGCCCTGGGCTTGGAGTCAAGGTCTAGGGAGGCCACGGGAAGGCACCGACACCCACCAAGCTCTGGGAGGTCGCTAATGCTCACAGAGACCATAGCAGCAATGGTACCGTGATTGCAACCTTGTTCCATGCCAGGAACTGTGGAAAGCACTTAATGCAAGCACCACTTAATGGGGGAGGTACTAGTCTGATCCTCTAACTCCTCCTCCTCTCTAATATGCAAAACATAAATTAAAGTTTCGTGCTTAACGGCACAAGGCCATGAAGGGGCAGGGGCCACCCACCCGGGCAGCCCCACCCCAGACTTCCGGGCTCGCCCGAGCTCCACGCTGCCCCCTTGTGGGCGTGGCCTCACCATTCACCCCGCTCTGCACCTGATGGAGGGACTTAGAACTCACCTTCCAACCTGGGACACCCGGAGAGGGACGGGGCTGCTCCTGTTGGCTCTGTGATCTCCGGGGGAGGCCTGAACGGTGGAGTAAGGTCCCTTAAGAGGAGGAGGGCTCCACAGGGAGGGGACGTAGCTGTGAACGGTGACCAGGATGAAGCCATGAGGCTTCCCTTCCATCTGGCTCTGCCCTGGACTCTGTGATGGGAGAGAAGCTGCCTCTGGCTCTGCCCCTGGACTCTGTGTGATGGGAGTGAAGCTGCCCCAAGTCCCTGGGTCTCAAGTTGTCCATCTCCGCCTGTGATCTGTGACCAGAAACTGCCAGGGGAGGACACGGGGTCATAAGCCATTCGCGGCCCCTTCCCCACCTGGGTTTCTATCCCCAGAGTACGTCCTTGGACCTAGACCCGGTGACTGCCTGTGAGGCTCGGGCTGTGAGCTCAGGCAGGTGGGACCAGGGGCTGAAGCCACATGGGGAGGTGGGAGGAGCGATGCCGTGCTCCATCCGGACCCCCTCAGAGGCTCCTGGGCTGCTGGGGCACAGCGGGACATGCTCCTGAGTCCCGCAGACCTGGTTCAAGTCCAGTGTCTGGTTTTTATTAGCCTTCTGTCTGCGGGAATATCTTGCCTCTGTTTCTCTCCCTCTCTTCTTCTCCTTCCTTCTCTCTTCTCTCACCTTCATGCAGTGACATATAAAGGTCACGAGGGCAGACCCTCCTGCAGCCAGATTGCTGGGTTCATGGTTCAAATCCCGGTGGTTCTGCCACCCCCTGGCTCTATGCCGGACGGTGACTCACCCAAACCTCCTGTGTCCCAAATTCCTCATGTGAAACAGAGGCAATAGAAGAGCTGTCCTGGTAGAATCGTTTAGGGCAGACTTGAGTTCAGGTACACACGGCGCTGACATCAGTGCTGATTAGAAAACCCCAAAGGAGGGATGCTCCTATTAATACTGAGGAAGTATTTTGTCCTCACAGGGACTGTGCCAGGCACTGAAGCCTCCGGATTTGATGCACCAAGAATGAGGAGAAATGGCCTCCCGTCTTGTGAACTTCAATGGGGAGAAATAATTAGAATGAGCAATAGAAATGCACAGATGCCTATACATACATATACAAATAAAAAGATACGATTCGCAATGGAGAATTTCAGACCTATCATTTCAATTATATTAAATATGTTCACGTAATGTATTACATATATAAGGAACATAATTATATAATAAAAATATGTTAACATATCACCACATATCACTATAATTATATTATATGAAAGATTTATTTACAATATATAGTACAATAAATTTCAGGTGTTATTATAATTAATAAACAGGTACAAACATAAATATATATTATCTATTATTTATAGATTATAATTATAATAGAAAAATTTTATATTTAATTATATGTTTATATGTAATATACATTATACATTATATATTATAGTGAATATATGCAACATATATTATAAGTATAAATCATATACAATTAACATTATATACATTAAATTATGATGTATATGTCAAGATTACATAATTTAATATATATTTGTTATATATTATACGTTTGCATAATACATGATACATATAACTATAAATAATATAAAAACTGTAATATTGCACATATATAATACATATGTAATTTTAAATGGTGGCAAATGTTATGAAGACCAAGCCCAGGAAGTCATGGTGTAGAATAACGGGTGGTGTCCTGGACCTTGGACCGTGGAGGAGGCAGGAGGGAAGGACATTCCAAGAGAGAATGTCTGCCTTTCTTGAAGGATATTGAAGATGCTGCCTCGGCAGTGGGGGAGGGGAGGGACGCTGTTCCTGGAAGAGGGACGCTTGGCTCGGACCCTGGGTTTGGGGGAGCCCCTCAGGACCGCATTTAGCCACCTGGGAATTGGGTAGTGGCGTGCACTGTGCAGAGGAGGGTGAAGGTTGGAGGAGATGACGGGCGGCCTGCAATGCGCCAGATGCCTGGGATCTCGGCTCGCTGCAACCTCCACCTCCCGGGTTCAAGCGATTCTCTTGCCTCAGCCTGCCGAGCAGCTGGGACTACAGGCACGCGCCACCACGTCGGGCTAATTTTTGTATTTTTAGTAGAGACGGGGTTCCACTATGTTGGCCAGGCTGGTCTGGAACTCCTGACCTCAGGTGATCCGCCCGCGTCAGCCTCCCAGAGTGCTGGGATTACAGGCGTGAGCCACCGCGCCTGGCCGATATATATAATTTTTAAAACTTCAACAAGAGCTCAGCCAGTTCTTTCTATGGGGCAATTGCTAATTTAGTTCTATGCAAATATCGACACATTAAGTCCTTGTACACACTGTCCTCAGCGTGCCTTATTATTTTCCCCCCTTTCCTCGGAGAAACTATCGACTGAGACATGGAGCAACCTCTCCAAGGTTAGCCAGGTCTCAGGGGCAGGGGCTGCCTGAACTCCAGGACAGGCTGCAGCTCACCGCGCTGGGAGGTTTCTGCCCTGCCATACTCTCAAATTTTAATTTGTACTGGGCTTTAATTTTCTTTTCTTTTCTTTTTTTTTTTTTTTTGAGACGGAGTCTCGCTCTGTCACCCAGGCTGGAGTGCAGTGGCGCAATCTCGGCTCACTGCAAGCTCCGCCTCCCGGGTTCACGCCATTCTCCTGCCTCAGCCTCCCGAGTAGCTGGGACCACAGGCGCCCGCCCCCACGCCCGGCTAATTTTTGTATTTTTAGTAGAGACGGGGTTTCAACGTGTTCTCAATCTCCTGACCTCGTGATCCGCCCGCCTCGGCCTCCCAAACTGCTGGGATTACAAGCGTGAGCCACCGCGCCCGGCCGAGCTTTAATTTTCTATTTGTGCTCAAGTTTAATTTCCTTCCAGGATCTGTTTCCTAGACCTGTGCTCTTTATTTTTGCCTTCTTCTGTTACATGATGACTGATTTTCTCTGTTCTTTATGTGGGACACATTCTCCCTGCTCTCTCTGTGTGTGTGTGTGGTGTGCGTGTCTCTGCATCTCTGTATCTCTGTCTTTCTTCTCTCTGGTTGTTTTTCAACTATTAGCGCAGTGTCTTCTCCCATCACGTCTTGTTTGTTTGGCTTGGACCCTGAGGTGGACAGGTGGGTAAATGAGGCCTTCAGCAAAGGGTGGCAGCTTGACCTTAGCAGAGGAGGCTGTGTGAATTTTTCTACCCCTTGCAGAGCACAGGAGGGCTGAGCCGACCCCCGTACCTGCTCCAGTGTAAGGAAGTCCAGGATGTGCAGGCAGCCAGGCCACAGTGAAAAGCAGGACAGTCATGGTTTAGGGGAAATTAAACAAAAGCACCCAACTGTTCTTTTGTGGGGATTGGTGGAAAGAGGATGGGTCCAGGCAGAGGACAGAAAAGCAGAGGCAGCGACTCATCTTTTCTTCTGGATCCTCCAACCCGCCCAATGCAGGGGCTGGGACTCAGCGCGATGGGTCTGGGGACACTGCTGTATGGAGAGGATGTCCCTCCTGCTCCACCGCCCCCAAGCCCACCTGGAGGAGGAGCCACGTTTAACACACCCGGTGGTGCAGTGTGGCCAGGCAGAGAGGGAAGGCCCACCCTGTGATCATGACCGCACCCTAATTCCCCTGAGGAGTGTCCTGGGGGTGAACATCAGGGGGCTGCAGTGGGGCCCAACATGGAGGGGAGGGGAGGCCTCACTTGGGCCAGATGGGGCAGCAGCAGATACTCACAAATGTCCCTGAATCCCTGGGACTAAGTGGACATTGAGTCAACAAGAAGGGTCCCCAGGCCTTGAGGGAGCAGAGAGAGGAAGGAAGGACAAATGGCTATCAGGTACAGACATCAGTGGGATCCCCCCGGCAATCTAGTAAGCAAACCCCACAGACCCCAGTCAGCTCAGGCCCAAAGCCCAAAGGCCAGCAGGAGGGCACAGAACCACTGTCCCAAGCATCACCTTTGAACCCTGCTTCCTCCATATTGGGCACTACCCTGGGAAGGAGCTCAGGAGAGAGGGAAAGTGGGAAGGGGAAATCATACTAAAGAAAGTGAAAAATGATTGTGAAGGGCTGAGTTTAAACTCCAGGGAGTGTGTGCGTGTTCACCAGGGGCAGCTTATGAGGAAGAGTGACATCAATGATAGAAGACGTATTTCTTTTTTTCTTTTCTTTCTTTTCTTTTTTTTTTTTTTTTGAGACGGAGTCTTGCTCTGTCGCCCAGGCTGGAGTGCAGTGGCACAATCTCGGCTCACTGCAAGCTCCGCTCCCAGGTTCCCACCATTCTCCTGCCTCAGCCTCCCGAGTAGCTGGGACTACAGGCACCCACCACCACGCCCAGCTAATTTTTTTGTATCTTTAGTAGAGACAGGGTTTCACTGTGTTAGCCAGGATGGTCTCGATCTCCTGACCTCGTGATCCTCCCCTCCCAAAGTGCTGGGATTACAGGCGTGAGCCACTGCATCCAGCTCCATAGAAGACGTATTTCTTCTGTTGAACTGAGTGCACGCTGATCTGTTGCACACACACACGCGAAGCCACACCAACACATACACGGATGGAATCCTCACTGGCGTGCAATGCTATTTAACTCCTCAGGTATTAACTACCTAAGGAAAGAAATGTAATTCATTGGATTTTTGATGATGCTTCAGTGAAATAAACCAGAGTCTGTTCCATCGAAAATGCCAGGTAAACGTTGACTATTTTTATTTTTCTCTGTTTTATCATGCATATATAACAGGCTTCCCCCCTCAACAGGGTCAATATTTTACGGGCCCTTTTATAAACTGCTTGTTCTGTTAAAAATTCACCAGAAGCATCCCTCCTTCTGTTGCACGTCCGCAATGAGCCCTCAGTTTGTAGCACATCCCACACTGCACACCCTCCTGAAAAATGCTTGGTTTGTGTGATAACATGCCCTGTCCCTTTCTCTCTCCACCAGGCTTTTCCATGTGGAGAAACGTCACTTAAAATGTTTCACATTTGATAGGGAGTCAGTGGCGCTATGTATGGACTGTGCTTCAGTTTCTTTGCATGTGGTTTTTTTTTTTTTTTTTTTTTTTTTTTTTTTTTTTTTTTTTTGAGACGGAGTCTTGCTCTGTCACCCAGGCTGGAGTGCAGTGACATGATCTTGGCTCATTGCAACCTCCACCTCCCAGGTTCAAGCGATTCTCCTGCCTCAGCCTCCTGAGTAGAGTAGCTGGGATTACAGGCATGTGTCACCACACCTGGCTAATTTTTGTATTTTTAGTAGAGATGGGGTTTCATCCTGTTGACCAGGCTGGTCTCGAACTCCTGACCTCAAGTGATCTGCCCCACCTTGGCCTCCCAAAGTGCTAGGATTACAGGCGAGAGTCACTGTGCCTGGCCAAAATGTGGAGAATTTTAATAGGTATTTTGTTGCCGACCTTTTCTTCCTGTTTCCTTGGGGATTCGGGTGGTTACTTTCACACAGAAAGAAAACAGCTTTTCCTGAGGACAGTGGTTCCCACCATGGAACTGAGACACGCTGAGCGTGTGAGAGATGCCCAGAGTGGCAGTCATGGCATCCTGATCTGCAGACCACTTCTCGGCTTCTGTCCAGAGCAGAGGCCAGGTGTCTGGACTTCCCTTTCTCAGACCGTTGGACCAGCTGGGCAGGGTGTTGAAGAAAAAAAAAATCCAGTGTCACTTGTTGAGGCACAATAAGGAGGACATTATTCAGGACTATTGCTGTAGGTACAGGGACCATGGTGATGGAATTGCACAGTGTGGGAAAGAGACTGGGCTCAACTCTGAGTAGAACAGGAAAAGTGGGAATTTGTAGCCTTGGAGCAGGGTGAGCGGGGTCAGTCAGTGGAAAATTGCTAAGAGAAGTCCTCAGGGGTTAAGAAGACCCTGGCTAAACCGACCCAGCAGGATTCTTGCTGAAGGCAGGCCAAGGCGGCCAGACATCACCTGAGGCTGATGGAGAATGAAGGTTCTTACCTGTGAACCATCTGATTAAGGGTGATCAGATATCTAGAGTTAAACTGACTCTGCAGGATTCTTTCTTAAGTAAGAATTGGAAAAGAGTTGCAATTCTTACTAAAATTGGGCAAAGCAGAGATAAACATGGAAGCCCAGAGGTCAGGGCTCGTTGGAAAAGAGCTCAGAGGAGCCTGAGTCGAGCATGGTCAAGGAGATCGTCTATCTGAAGGGAGAACGTAGAGCCTGGGCAGGTGTTGGGGAGGAGGGTTTAGACCAAGAATCACAAAGCTCATGGGCCTTGCTTCATGGAGGGATCACAGACCCAAGAGCTTCATTCTCTTCTTCTTGAAGAAATGTGACCACTGGGGCTGGGTCTCTCCTGGGCTTGAGAGTGAGGTCTGGGGAAACCCACAGGTCTGTGCCCTTGGAGAGGCTTAGCCCACCTGTTCCCAGGAGGACACCACAGCCAACAGTGAGAACCTGTCCTCCATCTCTATCAGACTACACCTTGCTGACCCCAAGAACCAGAAGGGAGTGTCTTCCCCTAGGACCCCAGCTCTGCTGGGAGACCTCTCGTACCCATGGCCTCTGCCAGTCACTCTCACCTGTGACCCTAAAAAGTCTCAAGCCCTTCTCTGCATGTTCCTAATTCTTGGTCCATCCTATCCTCTTGGGGATGGCCCTTTGCATGGAACATCACTGCAGGCCTCAGGAACCCCAGGACAGAGCAGAGTCCTCCGCTTCCTCCATCCTGTGAGCAGGTGACTTGGGATTTCAGATGAGGCTGGCAGTGACTGGAGATTTCGGAATCTGACAGATGCTTTTAACTACCTGGAAGGACTGTGCCCTAAGAGACAGAAGATATGAGAAGCATGAGAATCCACTGAAATGTAAAGGGCTTTAGAGCTACAAGAGAAGCTCTAAAAAGACAAGGAAATGCAGAAAGCCCCCAGTTCCTCAGTGGCTTGGGAGGGAGGTGCAGACTTCCTGACTATACAGGAGATGATGGGAAGACTCATTACGGATGGGGGCTAGGAGACCACCCTTCCTTAGTTACGTGTTTTGTGCTGTGTCTTGACAAGAGAGATGAATCAGGGTCCTAGGTGAGAATTCACCACCATCCAAGACCTAAATGGGTGTGTGTAGACTCTGAAGTCCAAGAAGTTCTGCCGACCGACGTCTGCACAAACCACTCTCAGCAAAACAACCACTAGAGTAATCCAGGGTTTCAGAAAGAGTTGGTCTTTTCCAATCTAGCGGAGAATATCTTCTCCCAGTGAGAGAGGGACACACACACACACACACACACACACACATACACACACAGTATTGGCTCTGTTTTCTCTGAAGTGTGTGGCCTTTTTTTTTTTAAGGTGTTGTAGATTACTTGGAACTAAATAGAGGTGATGGTTGAAGAAGATTATGAATGCACCAAATTCCACTGATTTGTACACTTTTACATAGTTAATGGTTAGTTTTATGTTTGCGTACTTTATTACAATAAAAAGTAATGATATAGTATTTGTAGAGCAAGTAGCAAAGTCCCAATATGAGTAGAATCTTATCATGCTCATAATTTATACACACAGTGCATTGAAATAAGACACTATTTTCGGACAGGCGCGGTGGCTCATGCCTGTAATCCCAGCACTTTGGGAGGCTGAAGCGGGAGGATCACAAGGTTAGGAGTTTGAGACAAGCCTGACTAACATGGTGAAACTCTGTCTTCACTAAAAATACAAAAATTAGCCGGGCATGGTGGCGTGAGCCTGTAATCCCATCTACTCAGGAGGCTGAGGCAGGAAAATCACTTGAACCAGGGAGGCGGAGGTTGCAGTGAGCCGAGATCATGCCATTGCACTCCAGCCTGCGTGACAGAGTGAGACTCCATCTCAAAAAAAAAAAACAAAACAAAACACTATTTTCTATTACCAAGGCAAGGCCAGAGTGATTCCCTTTTTGCTTCCTCTCTGCCCACGATGGTGTACAGTAGAAAAAAAAATGGCCTTATCCAGATGTCAAGATTCCATAGTTCATATGAACATCATCTACACCTTGAGCTTCTCCACCTCTTGCTAAATTCTGACTCCTATTCCAAATGTTCCCAATATATCTGGCCCTATATCTAGACACCATTCCTATTTCCCCTGTCTGGATGCAGTCCAAGGAGAGTGGTTCTTGCGGTTACTGTTTACAGTACTGACTGGGATGCTGGCGCCTGTCTGTAGTTTCAGCACCATGGCCAGCGTCCAGGAAGCCACACAGCTTTCTCCATTGTCGTCTCTTAGTTGATCATTTGCATATGCTGAGTCCCTATCTTGGGACTCTGAAATAGAGTCTTCCTGGAAAAATCTAATCAGTAACTTTTTTTTCAGGGCAATATTCAGGCATTAGGGTAAATTGGAAAAAGAGGATGCCAGTTGTTAAGGCGATGTTTTTGGAAAAAAAATAACCCTTACATTCCATGGATTCTGCAAGCAAGTAGAATGGCCTGTTGTGGGGTCGGGGGTGGGGGAGGGGGAGGGACAGCATTAGGAGATATACCTAGTGTAAATGACGAGTTAATGGGTGCAGCACACCAACATGGCACATGTATACATATGTAACAAACCTGCACATTGTGCACATGTACACTAGACCTTAAAGTATATACATTAAAAAAAAGCTCAGAATGTGGGCTCCCACACTCATCAGGACAACTAGAATAATCCAGGGTGTCAGAAAGAGTTGGTTCTCTCCAATCTAGCTGAGAATATCTCTTCCCGGACTTTCAAGATACCAGCTATTGGGTAATGGCCAAACGACAACAGGCTTTAAATCACACCAAACTGCTTTCAAAACCTGAATCTGACCTTGCTATCTTTATGTGCTTGGGAGAGTCACATTACCTGTCTAAGACTCACTTTGCTTTTCCATAAAATGGCACTAATAATGCTGTCTGCTTTGTAAGCATGTTTGGAAGACGGATGATCGGGGATTATTATATTCTGCCTCTCTGTTTAGCTAGGAGGGAAGGCTCCGGAGCCAGGAAGGCTGGGATATGATCATTGCTTTGTCTCTGAAAACTATGAGATTTAGGAAAATTACCCACTTGACTCAATTTTGTCATTTATAAAATGAGGGCAATGCCAGTACCTACCTTATATAGAGTTTTGGTGGAGAACACATAGTTACTGCATGTGACGTGCAAAGTAAACTCTGAACATGTTGTTAGACTCACTCAATAATGTGGGCTATTGTGATCACTACTATAATGTTACTCTAAAAACGATGATAATATTATCATAGTTTTGTGGCTACACAGAGCCTGATAAACTTTGCTCAGTAATAATACCTGTTTTTATGAATCATTGTTAACATTTTCTTGAAGGTCCTTGGACATCTGACATATTCCCTGATTTACTTTCCAAAGTTCTGGGCTCCCCATCTCAAGCTTACAGACTTAGCCTGGACGGATGCCGGCATTTGTTTTTTTCAAATATTTACTCAGCAACATCTCCTGGGACTCGGGACTCTGATGTGCCACATCCTGTATAGGAAACAGGTGATGTGGAAATGAGTCAGACTCAGCTCCTGCCCCTGACAGACTCTGACAGAGAAATCTGCAATGCACTGATAAGACTCTGCTACCAGAAGCTTAGGCGCTGCTGAAACGCAAAAGAGATACCAATTTATCTTTTCCTAAGGAGTGAAGGAAAGCCCCTTGGCCATGAAAACCCCTCAGATGGTACCAAAAATATAGACAATTGATCCAGAGAGGAAAAGAGGGGAAGGAAAGAGTAGAGAGCATCCTCAAATGAGAGAGCAGTGTATTCGGAAGCATCAGTAGCTATGAGAAGCTACAGGCTCAAACAAGGGGAAAGATTTAGGAGGAGAATTATTCTCAATTGCTGGAGTGAGGGGTTGAGCCAAATAGGTTAAATTAAAATTTTCATTGTTGACCATGGAAGGGCTGCGCACTGGGGCAATAGGAGAAACCTCCAGGAGTGTTCAGGGAAAGAAAGCAATTAAACGTGGATCATGTTTTTTGTTGTTGTTTTTGTTTTTTGTTTTTTTTTCTGAGATGAAGTCTCGCTTTGTCGCCCAGGCTGGAGTGCCATGGTGTGATCTTGGCTCACTGCAACCTCCACCTCCCGGGTTCAAGTGATTCTCCTGCCTCAGCTTCTGGAGTAGCTGGGATTACAGTCATGCACCACAAGGCCCAGCTAATTTTTGTATTTTTAGTAGAGATGGGGTTTCACCATGTTGGCCAGGATGGTCTCGATCTCCTGACCTCGTGATCTGCCTGCCTTGGCCTCCCAAAGTGCTGGGGTTACAGGTGTGAGCCATGGTGCCTGGCCAGATAAATTTTTAAAAGAGAGGGAGATTTGGCTGGGCATAGTGGCTCACGTCTGTAATCCCAGCACTTTGAGAGACTGAGGTGGGTGGATCACCTGAGGTCAGGAGTTCGAGAACAGCCTGGCCAACATGGCTAAACTCCATCTCTACTAAAAATACAAAAATTAGCCAAGCATAGTGGCAGGTGCCTGTAACCCTAGCTACTCAGGAGGTTGAGGCAGACGAATCGCTTGAACCCGGGAGGCAGAGGTTGCAGTGAGCCGAGATCACACCACTGCACTCCAGCCTGCAATAGAGAGAGACTCCATCTCAAAAAAATAAAATAAAATAAGAAGATGACTGTGGGAATGGTAAACTGATTTCCAGGATGGGATACCCAAAAGGCACTGCAGACCTGGGGAGAGGGTAGCAGCAATATTGACTTTCATTGTGGACACGGCGAGTAGAAAAGTCCTGTAGGGAACTCTATAGGTTCTTGCCTAAGGGAAGAGTCACAAAGCTGTTGGACAGAAATGGAAACACTACCAAAAGCATCAACGGAGAAGAGAAAAAGGAAAAGAGTACAAGGGATGGGGATAGGGTAGAAAAGGATGATTCTCAACAAGTCAGGATTTCTCCTACCCAAACATCTATGGTATACACCTGCCACTCCTTGCCAATACTTTTGTCATTATATATATATTTGAGACAGAGTCTTGCCCTGTCGCCCAGGTTGGAGTGCAATGGCGCAATCTCGGCTCACTGCAGCCTCCAACTCCCGGGTTCAAGTGATTCTCCTGCCTCAGCCTCCCGAGTAGCTGGGATTACAGTCACCCACCACCACACCCTGCTAATTTTTGTATTTCTTTATTTATTTTTTTAGTAGAGACAGGGTTTCACCATATTGGCCAGGCTGGTCTCCAACTCCTGACCTTGTGATCCACCCACCTTGGCCTCCCAAAGTCCTGGGATTACAGGCGTGAGCCACTGCGCCTGGCCTACAAATGTGTTAATATCTCAGGGTGTGTGTGTGTGTCTGGGGAGGGCCAGGTGGTTTTCTGTGCTGAGTTTGCTCTGTAGGGAAGAGCTGTGTTTTCTGGGGCTGTAGAGTTTAGCTCAGTCCTGATCATCAGCAATACGAATGTCAAACAGGAAGGCTTGTGTCTTATTTGGATGAAGATGCAGACCTGTGGAAGGATTTTGATCAGGGCCAGAAACAGGAAAGTTTGGGGCTATGAGAATTAATAGACATCAGCAGCAGTGAGGGTCTGGAGTAGGGGGCTGGGAGGAGGCTGATGTGGTGACAGAGACACGATGTCTTCAGTCTCCAGCTGAGCTTGGACTGTGGGGATGGGTCAGGGGACGTGGGTGAGGAGGGACTCGGGGAAAGAGCTGTTTGGATTTGTTCACGGTGTGGGGAGCAGAAGAGCGTGAGGAACTGAGAGTTGCTCCAGTCTCTGCCTTGGTTCACTGGAGGAGCCGATGGGGCTGTCTCGGGATGGATGACCCCAGGAGAAGCAGCAGGCAGGGGAGGTGTTGATAAGATGGATAACTGGCCTCAGAGAAAGCAGAGCCTCCCTCCAAGCCCGAGTGTGTGGTTTTGTTCCTCCCAAACACTTCCTTCATCTGACTTCCTTTGTTCTATAATTAGCAGCACCTTCTCTTCATTCTTCTCTTTCAAAACCTCTGATTCATTTCTACCTCCTCACTACAGTGTGTTTTCTGAAAGTTCTCAAAGCACAGACTAATTCCCATTTTCCAGGAGAACCACACATTTCATATGGCTTCAAGCCAGACAATGGGAATCCACGCAGAGAGAACATGCACGCACACAAACAGGAAGGACGCAGACGGGCTTTGGGGGTGACGAGGGACAGCTTCACCCTGAGGTCTCAGGCGAGGGGTGAGGAAGGAGACTCATGTGAACTCCTCTGTCTCTGCTCTCAGGCTTGTTCACAAAACCCTGCATCTCAGCGCACCCAAGCCCCCTGGTGCACGCAAGAGCCAGCGTGAGCCTGCGCTGTCACTCAGAGCTGGCCTTTGATGAATTTATCTTATACAAAGAGGGGCACACACAACATTCCCAGCAGTATGGTAGGATGATCCAGGCTGGGGATCACTCCTTCAAGGCTGTCTTTTCCATGGGTCCTATAACGCCTGCCCGTGCAGAAGCCTATAGGTGCTGTGGCTGTTTCAGTCACTCCTGCTATGAGTGGTCGGCTCCCAGTGACCCCCTGGACATTGTGATCACAGGTGAGTGTGGCTGGACCATTCATGGTCTTTTGGTGCCCAGGAAACTCCCCAGGGTGATGTGGTTGTTGATCAAACCGCCAGTAGAGGAAGAAAAATACCAGAACATAGAAACACCAAGTAACTTATTAGAGGGCCAGAGGAGGGGATGAAGGAAAGGGGGAGAAACAGAGAACTTGTGATAGTTAAAGAGAAAACAAGTTAGACAGTGACAGAGAATGTGAAACAGATATTGAGAGAGATTCGCAAACATAGACAATGCCTCCTCCTGACCTCTCACCTGTGTCCTCAATGCCTCCTCCTGACCTCTCACCTGTGTCCTCAGTGCATCCTCCTGACCTCTCACCTGTGTCTTCAGTGCCTCCTCCTGACCTCTCACCTGTGTCCTCAGTGCCTCCTCCTGACCACTCACCTGTGTCCTCAAACATCACTTCCTCATGACTCCCTTTCCGCAACAGAAGAGCTATGCCAGTCTATTTTCTAATCACCCACAGCCAAGGAATGATTCCACATACGAATGTCATAGTGCGTAGTTACCTGTTTTGTAGTTATTTCTAGACATCTATCACATCCCCTAGACTAGCAGGGCTCACAGGACAGGATCCATGTCAGTGAAGCGTATGCTTTATTTTTCATTCTTGGTTAATTGTATGAAATAAGGTTGACATTTATAGACATATGCTGGCAGAATGGATGGAAGCATGGATGGACTATAAATGGACAGACACAGAGGGAAGAGTTGATGATGTATTCAGTATTCAAATGCACACTTAAAATCTGTCGTATATCAAGCCAGCAACCTCTCCTGCTGCTTTCCCCCTTGAATTCTGGGATATTCAGCTCTGCTCTCAGTTTCCTGGCTCAGGGATTTCCTCCTTGTCCATTTTGCCCAGGTGAGACGCACACAGAGATCACAAACTCAGATCAGCCTGACAAATCCTAAAGCAAAATCATACCTGCAGCATTGACTATATAATCCACTGGACCCCATGCAAAATGAAAATAGAGGGCCCCATGTTCAAACATCAAGATGTCAACACGAGGGCATTAAACTCAGCTTGGAACTCTGATGGCACGGCTCCTGGACAGTGAAGCCAGCCCTGCACAGAGACATAAGCAATTGGGGGATTGCACACAGCATATACCAGGCACCTCGAGATCCCAGAGCTGCATGCACCCAACACACGCCAGGTATTCCAGATGCATCAGACAGAAAGTGCCCCTGGAGGTGATGGTTGCAGATCTGGGGGCCTCCAAAGCCCACTTCGCCACTCTCTGCTTCAGTCGTCATACTGGACATGGACTGTGTCCCTGCACAGACCCTGTGTATACCTAGTCCGTTCACTGCACTGCAGGGACTCAGACTTGGTAACTGAGTGTATGAATGTGTATGAATGAAAATAGCATGTTGATTGTGTTGGATTATCTTTACTTAACAAAGTGGCATGCAGTTTTATGAAGTTTTAAATGGAATAAATAGTGACGTCTTCACATAAGCCTCCTTAGGAAGTGACTAATATCACCCACGCTTACAGGATGAGGAGGTTGAGCTTCACAGCTTGTGCAGCAGGCTGAGAGTCACGGAGCAAACAGGCCGCAGATCCTGGAATGAGCCCAGGCTGGCAGAGGTCAGAACCCAGTCTTGTGACCACAATGCTTTGCCACCTGTGTTAGCTTCCTGGGGCTGTCCTAACAAAGTCCTGCAATCTGCGTGGCTTAACACCACAAAATCAATTCACTTATAATCCTGGGAAGTAGAAGTTTGCAAGTAAGGTGTCAAGGAGGCCATGCCCACTCTGTAGGTTCTAGGAAAGAATCCTTCCACATCCCCCCCACCTTTTTTTTTTTTTTGAGACAGAGTCTTGCTCTGTCACCCAGATCTGTGGAGCGATCTTCTCTCACTGCAACCTGCACATCCTGGGTTCAAGTGATTCTCATGCCTCAGCCTCCCGAGTAGCTGGGACTACAGGTGTGCACCACCACACCTGGCTAATTTTTGTATTTTTTTAATTTAATTTTTTTTTGAGAGAGAGTTTCACTCTTGGCATCCAGGCTGGAATGCAATGGTGAGATCTTGGCTCACTGCAACCTCTGCCTCCTGGGTTCAAGTGATTCTCCTGCCTCAGCCTCCCAAGCAGCTGGGACTACAGGCATGCGCCATCATGCCCAGCTAATTTTTGTATTTTTAGTAGAGATGGGGTTTCACCAGCTGGTTTTGGCCAGGCTGGTTTCAAACACGTGATGTCAAGTGATCTGCCCACCTTGGCCTCCCAAAGTGCTGGCATTACAGGTGTGAGACACTTCCTGGCCCCAAATCATTCATTCATTCATTTATTCATTCTTCATTGAGTCATTCGGTAATTCCCCGTATAGTTACTAATCACTAAATGTGTGCCAAGTACGGGGCTCCTCACTTCGTACAATTACGGTATATTGTAGACACAAAGAGTGTCTTCATGGTGGGAACTGGAGGAGAAACAATGAAAAAGTGGAGAAATAGAAATAAATGACATCAATGATAAATTTTATGAAAGAAAATGTTAAAACTAAACCATGAAAACTAATACAGAAGCCTACTTGCCTACGGTGGTAAGGAAAGAAATCTTGGAGCTGGTGATATTTGCACTCAACAGTGATATGAGGTGTGGGGAGAGGGATGGAAGTTGAGATAGAGAGAAGAGCACGTGCAAAAGTCCTGGGGTGAGGGAAATGTGAAGGATCCATTTCTTTTGCTGTAAATAAGACAACATACTGTCCTGAGTGTACGTGGGTATTTATAAAGTAATAATATTTATCTAAAACTTGGAGTGAAGTATCTGAATGAACGTATGCTTCGAGTAAGGGTTATAAACCATTGTGTCTATTTATGTACAGATGAGAATACCACATATTCCAGCCCTGCCGTGAAGGAAAGGTGGAATCAGAGATGAGGAATCTTCAGCTCAGATAGGAGACACACAGAAAGGTTTGCATGTGGAAGTGCCAGCCTGTCAACCTCTCCAGAGGCTCCAGAAGTGAGGCCAGAATTTTGATGATAGGAGATAGACTTTGGAGGTCATCACCCACATCCCCTGTCATGGTCACTGTCATTGTCCCTATTCCAGGCAGTCAGAAGGAAAAATGAAGGATGAACATAATGCGTTGGGTTCAATGGGCCAGGGCTGGAAGCAGCCACCTCTCCTGGGCAAAGCCTCAATTTCACAGATCTTCTCAGGTGAGAATTGAATCACTGCAAATGAAAAGCTTGCCCTTGGGTTGTGTCGACAGGTTTGAAGCAGGCAGGGAAATCTATTCATGGCAGAGATATAAACGGTCCCTTTATTCTATGGGTGGATGTGGATCAAGAATTCTAGACACACAGGGTGAAGCCTGTGTCCAAACTAATAGGACCTTCACACTGTTTTCAGCATGGAGAGCTCACAAGTATTGGAGGATTGGGAGAATGGGGTGTCTAGAATAACGTAAAGCAACAGGAAGCTTGATTCACCCAGATGGGTAACCTGAGCATATGCCCTCCTATGGATCAGCTCAGGAATTCCACGCTGGCTTCAACACAAAGGCCTTTTCACCCGTGCTTGCTAACATTCAGATTCCCATTAAAGATGTGTGTTTTTAATTAATCATTTCAAATAAAACCTTGACATTATTTTGCATTAATTTTTCATGTTTAAGTAATTGGTTTAATCGAGAAACGGAAGTGCATGAGGCAGATACTAAGTTAGTTAGGTCATTGCAAATATTTAGTTGGACTTTTATCATCCCTCGGCCTCAGATTTTCTGAAGCCTCTGATGCCGTTCACCCCTCTGACCTACGTGAAAGTAGCTCTTATCTTGTTCACCTTTTGGACCTTGTTTCAAAAGTAATGATAGAAATGAGCAGTCCAGTTGAGAAAACAAGATACTCTGGGAGGGTAGGTGCTGAAAATTCTTGGAGAAACCAAAGCTGAAGACAAGACTCTCAATCAATTGATCTTGGCAAGGAATTGTGTTTTCTCTCTTCACTGTTTAATACTGGTCAATACAATTATGGATGTTTTGATCTGGAGTGATTCTTTGTTAACATCTCTCGTATTCATCCAGAGAATGTAAATAAGGGCATAAAACAAATGTAAATATTCCTATGATAAAATAATTATTCTGCTATGGAGAATATTGGATCTTGCTCCTTAGCGTGGGTTATTTGGGTGAAACACTGAGAAACATGAATGTCAAAGAGTCCTACACTGTGAAACCCCGTCTCTACTAAAAATACACACACACACACTCACACACACAAATTTGCCGGGCGTGGTGGTGGGCGCCTGTAGTCCCAGCTACTCAGAAGGCTGAGGCAGGAGAATGGTGTGAACCCGGGAGGCGGAGCTTGCAGTGAGCCGAGATCGCGCCACTGCACTCCAGCCTGGGGGACAGAGTGAGACTCCGTCTCAAAAAAAAACAAAAACAAAAACAAAAAAACAGTCCTAAGCTTTCTAGGACCAAGGAAGCAGCTACTCACTCGCAATCGCTAGAGTGTTCCCATCTTCCAACACCCACCTTGATTTTCTCTAGTCCAGCAATGAGTCAGGTCTCAGCATGGTCGAAGCAGGGAAGGAGCATCTCATGCTGCTTTCCTTGTGGTCATACCTTGCCAATGCCACTTCCAGAGGCAGGTTTTTCATTCCTTCTTTCAGCTTTCAGGGTCTGGATACTCTGAGGACACTGGTTTTGCCTCTGTGCATTGATGAATGCCTCCGTTAATCTGCAAGTGAAGAGTAAGGAAATTGCTTTTCACACATTACTTAGAGGGCTTTTGGTACTGTCAGCGAAGGACACTTGTCTGATGATATCGATGTCAACCACAACTTGCAAAATATCCCATAGACTCAAATTTTAGGAAACTATTCTAACCAAAGCTCATCATCTGAAAGCTGTTGCTCTATGCACAGGGTCCTGGGCTTCTCTGTGTGTGGCTCTTCCCCCCACACAGGAGACCCATCCTCTCGTGAGATCTTCACCCTGCGCAGGAGACCCGTCCTCTCCCGAGATCTTCGCCCCGCGCGGGAGATCCGGCCTCTCCCGAGATCTTCACCCCACGTAGGAGACAGGTCCTCTCGCGAGATCATCACCCCATGCAGGAGACCCGTCCTCTCGCGAAATCTGCACCCCTAGCATGAGATTCCCTCCTATCGCGAGATCTTCACCCAACTCAAGAGACCCGTCCTCTCCCGAGATCTTCAAGGCACGCGGAAGACCCGTCCTCTCGCGAGATCTTCCATGCGATGGCTCCTGCCTCTGCTCATATCCAAACTCCTCCTCAGCCAGGTGTCTGATGACTCCACTGCCATCATCCCAGAAATTTGTTCCTAGAGAACACAAACAAATTTCTTCTCTATTCTTCATACCAAAGAAAATACTATGATATTTCTGCATGTTTATATTATTGTTAAGTGAACGGCAGTAATTGCTTATCTTCCAAAACGAAGAGCTGAGTAATGATATATCTTTAAACTCCATCCTTTTGACAGTGATTGAAATGGACAAAACAGTAGAAAGTAGAGCTGATATGTGTGATCACTTTTAATGACACAGATTAACAGTGAAAACCACAAAGACCTGTGGTACTTGTATCTAGGTAGTAGAACATTGGCCTGTAAACACAGCACTTCGGGAGGCCGAGGCAGGTGGATTGCCTGAGGTCAGGAGTTCGACACCAGCCTGCACAACATGGCGAAACCCCGTGTCTACTAATGATACAAAAAATTAGCTGGGCATGGTGGTGCAAACCTGTAATCCCAGCTACTCGGGAGGCTGCCAGATCCAGCCACGAGACACCTTTCAAAAAAAAAAAAGAACTTGGTGTATAAGATAATTTTTACACTGCCATAAAGAACTACCTGAGACTGGGTAATTTATGAAGAAGAGAGGTTTAATTGACTCACAGTTCCACAGACTTAACAGGAAGCATGACTGGGAGGCCTCAGGAAACTTACAATCATGGCGGATGTTGAAGGGGAAGCGGGGACCTTCTTCTCATGGCTGCAGGATAAAGAGAGAACCAGGGGAGACGTGTCACACTTTCAAACCACCAGCTCTTGTGAGAACTCATGATCATGAGAACAGCAAGTGAGAAATCTGCCCCCATGATCCAATCATCTCTCACTGGGCCCCCCTCCAATACATGGAAACTGCAATTCGAGATGAGATTTGGGAGGGGACATAGCCAAATCATATCATTTTGCCCCTGGCCCCTCCCAAATCTCGTGACCTTCTCACATTTCAAAACCAATCATGCCTTCCCAACAGTTCCCAAAGTCTTAGCTCATTCCAGCATGAATTCACAAGTCCAAGTCCAAAGTCTCATCTAAGACAAGGCAAGTCTCTTCCCCGTATAAGCCTGTAAAATTAAAAACAAGTTAGCTACTTCCAAGATACAATGGGGATATAGGCACTGGGTGAATGTTTCCATTCCAAATGGGAGAAATTATCCAAAGCCAAGGGGCCACAGGCCGTGTGGTGATGGGTTTGTAGGTGCAGCAAACCACCAGGGCACAAGTTTACTTATGTGGCAAACCTGCACGTCCTGGACATGTACCCTGGAACTTAAAATAAACAAAATAACATTGATTATAAAAAGATATGAGGCCTAGAGAATCCCAGGAATACCTCCGCCGAACCCCACAACCCACAACCCCAGTGTCACTAGGTTGCTGGGACAACACTGGCACTACCTGCCTCAAAACTTATTGTGAAGTGAAACATTAAATGTCTTTATTATTAAAACAAAAGGAGAGAATGACAATGATCGTAACAAATACTTTCAAGCTTTATGGACATATACAAATTGTACATATTTGGTGGGTGGAATATGATGTTTTGATGTATGTGAAATAATTACCACAATCGAGCTAACAAGAAAGTGTCTCTCCCCTCACAGGGTTATCATTTTTGTCTTCATTTTTTTTTATGTGGTGAGAATATGTAAGACGTATCCTGTTAGCAAATTTCAGGTGTGTAATACAGTCTTTTTACACTATAGTCAGGCGGGTTTTGAGTGTGGGAAATGAGGACACGTTGGTCAAAGGCTACAAAGTTTGGTTATGCAGGATGAAAATGTTCTAGAGATCTAATGTAAGCATGGTGACGATAGCTCACAGAGCTTCCGATGGAAGAGGCTATTTTGTGTGCAGATTTTGCCTTGCTCCAAGATGGCAAAACTGCAGAAGAAATTGTCCAATGGGCAGAAGAAACTGGAGGTTTATTGGGATGTGTTGACTTCCCTCCACCAATTGAAGATAAGAGATGACCAGAATTCAAGGTGCTGCCTACTTCACGTTAGTATTGAGGAAGGAGCTCATTCCTCTTAACAATGAAGAGTAATCAGATTTTAAACTGTCATGGTTGCTGTAAAGAAAAAGCAAAGCGTAAGTATACCCTAATAAAATTTTTGTGTATAAGAAGGGAAACTATTCAGAAAGTGAAAGTGATACAAATATGAGATAGCCCCAGAGAAATTTGAGGCACCTCGAGTTTCTTTCAAAAATAAAATGCAATTGGGAAGCCAAGGCAGGCGGATCACCTGAGGTCAGGAGTTCGAGACCAGCCTGCCCAACATGGCGAAACCCCATCTGTACTAAAATTACAAAATATTAGCTGGTGTGGTGGTGGGGGTCTGTAATCCCAGCTATTCGGTAGGCTGAGGCAGGAGAATCTCTTAAACCTGGGAGGCAGAGGTTGCAGTGAGCCGAGATCATGCCACTGCACCCCAGCCTGGGCGACAAGAGTGAAACTTCGTCTTAAAATAAATAAATGAATAAATAAATAAATAAAATGCATTAAAACACCAAAACATAGAAATGTTATATAAGTTAGAAGAGTTATTTCCCTCATTTTAATGATGCTAAAAGTGAGGTAAAAATAAAAAGAAATTCGTGAATTTATAAGAAATGTATTAAATAAGTGAAACATATTAAAATACAGAAAAGATAAAGTAACTGTAGCTGGAAACAGAGAGAGGCATGCTTGCAGAAAGTATATAAAAAGGGATGGAAACATATACATATTTAAAAAATAATCAGCCAGGGTACAGTCATATGAAGACAGATCAAGAACACCCAATGTTTTTAAAATTGGAATTTTTGAAGAAGAGAACGCAAGCAAGGAATAGATAGGATCTAGTTTATTTGTCCAGGATCCATATTTGAAAAATTCAGGTATGGCTTATTTCTGACCTTCTGAATTTACTCTTTTATATGTTTTTCCAGAGGAATCCATAAGCCTGTTAGGAGATTAGGCTACGAAATTTCTTTAAATGTACCTCAAGTGAATAGAACCTTTTAAATCATCATGAATGGACACGAAACTCACCACTGGCTCTTGCCTGCAAGAGCCTTGTTTCTTTACCTAATTCATCAACTATTTGTATTTATTGTTTGGGCAGCACTTCTGGAAAATTTGCACGATATACCTAAGATCTACAGATGATGTGGGTCCTTCTGGAAATAATTCATGAAGGAAAATAGTTTAAAGACATACTAATTACCATGTAATGCATCAAGGGCATTCAATATTTAGTAGAGCTTGTTTTAGTGAAGAGTTGCGAATTTAGGTATTGAATTCAGTAATCAAAATATGCCCCACATCAATATCCCAAATTAACTCCTGTAATTATTTATACTTCTCAACACTGCTTTAAAAAGCACAGAATCACATTCTTCAATATAAAATTAAAAATTTCCAATTTCATGGAACGCTTTGAAATTTTTATGGACTTAACCCTCACCTTCAAAAGCCAAACTTTTGAAGTTATCAGTGTTCAAATTTTCCTTCTTCAAAGGCCATGGCCCCTCTGCTATTACTTATGCTGTGTCTTGTTCTCACAGTCCAGTGTACGCTTACTTCTTAGAACTTTAATTTGTACTAAATAAAAATTGCACTGGATTAAAACAGTTTACTTCATAAAGCTGTTGGCCTCATCCCAATGTGTAAACACTGCTAAGCTGTCTTCCTGGCAAGAAACCCGTAAACACCATGAAGTACATTTAGCAACGTCAATTAACAAGTTCTCCTCATTTTTAACCAATGCATGCGTCATATTTTTAAGTGGGTATTTGTCCCGTGTGTTTGCTTGCAGGGTGACTGTCCACTACTGAGGTCTTGAACTTTGCAAATCTCACTTCCAAGTCAATCAATTATAACACATTTTATGAAACATAGCACAATGTTTAATAAATGGCACCATTGATTTGTAAAAATTATTTCTCATAGGTGATACATTTGCTTACAGGTACAGATATTTGTATCACAGCATTTATTCAACATATTTTTCTATTGTAGAATATATTTAAGTAAATGTTAACATCAAGTTCATCCTCTGTCATCTGTAATCAGGTATTTTCTGAGAAGTGGAAAAAACAACAGAATCTGACAACGGTTGCTGGCAGTTTTGGGGTCATCACTCTGTAAAACATGTGTTTTTGTCAGTTTATTTTTATCTTGACATTCCCCATGTCCTGCAGTCCCACCCTGGGGTGTGTACTCAGGGAAACTCACTCATAAAACCCAGGACACTCAGGCAAGAATGCTCCGGCAAACATTGCTCCAAAAAACAAAATGTCCGGTGAAAACATACATCATATCTGCCCAAAAGGACAAATACATTGAGGAATATGCAAGCGATTTACTGCAGTCTGTCTGTTGTTAAATAAACAAGAGCTATGCAGAGCATTAGGAGCATAGCGGTATCATTTTACAATCAAAAACACAAAACAAACTATCCTTTTGTGTTATATTTAAAACGTAAAAATATACGTACATACACACACACAAATATTACCAGATGATAGCTATGATATCAGAGACACATATTTACAAAAATAACACAGAAAAGATCCAAAATTGTATGTGTGTGGTTTTCATACATTGAGAAGTTCTGGGACAGATGAGAGACAAAGCATGAGTTGATACTATTTTTATGAATATGCTGTTTTTTTTCAGTGTGGATTTCACAGGGCTTTTTTTCTTGCTATAATCTTACTAATTTTTTAATAAAATGAATTGGCTTTTGGGGAGAACCTTCAGCGTTATATGCACATATGTTTGTGTTATTCAGAGTTTATATATGTATGTAAATATACACATAGAGAGAGTAGAGTTTTCTGGAAGAGAAAGATAGAGATCTGTGTCTTGAACTGTGAGTCAAGAAAGGATTTCAGAGAAAACATCAAGAACCAGGATTTTCACGCTCGCTTCTGTGTTAATAATGCAAAATCAGTTTTTCTTGGTGTTAACTTCTTGAAGCATAGGAGAAAAATTGAAGAACTTGAAAATTGTTCTTAATTTGCA
The DNA here is from genome assembly GCF_000001405.40 of Homo sapiens. Taxonomy (NCBI): domain Eukaryota; kingdom Metazoa; phylum Chordata; class Mammalia; order Primates; family Hominidae; genus Homo; species Homo sapiens. The sequence continues at coordinate 437,072 of NW_003571060.1, forward strand.
AGTAATTAATTTGCAACTTTGAAAATGACAGGATAAACATTTCAGTTTTACTGTACAACCGTTTTACAACACTGACAGTGCATCTATTTTAATTTGGCGGAGAACCTTGCATCACAGAAATCAAATCATGCATAGTTCTCAAAAAAGGCAATAAGATATTAAGATACAATTCTACACTTTTGCACATAGAAAAATTAAATTTGAAATATAGACATTATGGATTGGTCGGTGCTAGGGTTCAAGTCAGGCCTTTGTTAGGGGCTCTGTTGAACCAAGAATACCGTCTGCAAGTTTCCTGTGTCACCCACTATGTTTAGGGTGAGAGCTGGTCATCTTCCTGTGTGGGGCACCCTCTAAACTCTGCAAACTGAAACTGGAACCATGGTTACCACATCCTGTTCATTTTCCAATTTAGCTCAACCCCTGTGTCCTGCCCAATAGAAGTGGCACCATGGCCCCCAAACTCATCACCGTCCTGTGTCTGGGTAAGTCCTGGAAGGGAAAGGAGGACACGGTTGGGATGGAAAATGCTCTCTTGAAGACCTGGCCTCTCCACAACCCAGGTCTGGTGGTGGGAAGCCAGGTTCATCCACCCTCTGAATCCAGGCTGAGCTGACAAACCCAGTTACAAGGAGGGAAGGATTCACATGAAGACAAGCTATTTTTCTCTCTCCTCTCTTTTTTTTTTTTTTGCCTAGGATTCTGCCTGAACCAGAAGATCTGCCCACATGCGGGTGAGTCCTATCCCAGTCCTAGGATGCTGTGTTGGCCAAACACAAATGATTCTCCAGGCAGGGAGGGTGGACACGAAGTCAGGCTGATGTAGATGACATGGGGTGGGCTTTGCAGTGAGCACTGGGAACACAGGAAGGGAGTCCTCTGGAGACCCTAGGCTCCATTTTGTTCTAGAAACCCTCCATAGGCAGCCCCTCAGGCTCATCCAATCTCCTGAAGGAGCCTGTGATGCTCAGAATCCAGCGTGTCTGGGGGTGGGTAGGGTAGGAGTACTCTCTGTCAGGAGGCAGGGACCCGTGCTGGGCACTTGTGTTGGGAATTGTTAAATGAGTTGATATGTTTTTTGTATTGCTTGAATCTGGTAGATTCCTCCTTCTCCTCCATGTACAGATTTCTGTTGTAGACAAGAACTAGGAGCAACTTGGCTCAATATTGTATCATCATGCTTAGTAGAATTCTGTTCTGGGGAGACCTTCCATGTCCACTCTGGGGTGGCTGTGTCCCTGGCTTGCGACCAGGTATCCCAGGGCATCAGGGGACCCCACGTTACAGGGCAAACCAGAACAATGTAAAGAAGGAAATGCCCCCAAGGACAGCGGGAGACGGGGGGCTCCACATTTCCCTCTCTAGGCTGTGCCTCCTTCTCTTCCAGGTGCTCAGGACAAGTTCTCCCTGTCAGCCTGGCCGAGCCCTGTGGTTCCCCTAGGAGGACGTGTGACTCTCTCCTGTCATTCCCATCTTCGGTTTGTCATATGGACAATATTCCAAACAACTGGGACCCGAAGCCATGAGTTGCACACTGGCCTTTCCAACAACATCACCATCAGCCCTGTGACCCCAGAACACGCAGGGACCTACAGATGTGTTGGAATTTACAAGCACGCCTCAAAGTGGTCAGCTGAGAGCAACTCCCTGAAGATCATCGTCACAGGTAGGAGAAGTCCAGCCCACCCCACGTCCAACCGGTGTCCAGATGGACCTGCCCAGAGTCCACACCCAATGAAGCCAGAGAGTTGTTGTGGGATTCCTAGTCATGCACTAACCGTGGACACAGAAGCCATCCTGGGAATTTAAAGAGAGGGCATTTCCTGTGAGGAATCAGGTACCCAGGTGGAGGAGGAGGGAGGAAGCCGAGCAGCAGGAGAATCTGCCTGGGGAGTAGCAGACGCAGGGTGCTGGTACCAATTGCAGCAGGGTGGATCCAGGGAGGAGCCATGTTGCCTGACCCCAGCTGGATCCAGGGAGGAGCCATGTTGCCTGACCCCAGCACCAGTGTTTCCCTCGGGGAAGTCGTTACTCTGCCTCGAAGGAGCCAGAGGCTTGGGGAAGTGACAGTTCCCTCGGGAGATGAGTCCAGTGGCTCAGTGGGACATGGATTGGGAAATGCACCCATTCCTCTCCTCCTCCTTCCCAGTCTCGTGACACTCATCCCTTCTCTCTCATGGATGTGCAGAGTGTCTCACGGAGAGTTAGAAACTCATCCTGTGGAGTCGCCCCTGCCCATCCTATAAAGCAGGGAAGGGAGAGTGTGGAGTTATTCATATTTTATATATGTATGTAAATATACACATAAAGAGAGAGAGAGAGTAGAGTTTTCTGGAAGAGAAAGATAGAGATCTGTGCCTTGAACCGTGAGTCAAGGAAGGATTTCAGAGAAAACATCAAGAACCAGGATTTTCACGGTTGGTTCTGTGTTAATAATGCAAAATCAGTTTTTGTTGTTAACTTCTTGAAGCATGGGAGAAAAATTTAAGAACTAGAAAATAGTTCTCAATTTGCAAGTCATTAATTTGTAACTTTGAAAATGACAGAATAAACATTTCAGTTTTGCTGTACAACCATTTTACAACATTGACAATGCATGTATTTTAATTTGGCAGTCTCACATTCAAGGAGCTCAGAAGAAACAGAGAAGAGATTGGGTCTTTCCACCAAGAGAGCGGGGAAAGCAGGTTGGGGTGAGGCAGGGAGATCCAGGCTACGAAAGCTCCTGGAGGATCTGAATGGAGATTGGGACTGTGAGGGGCTGCCCAGGAAAGGAGTTTACCGTGTCCTTCTGCCTAAATAGGGAAAAGGAGTCACTTCCACCCTCCCCAACAAGTAGTCACGTCTAACCTCTTGGGTTTTGGGGCAAAACCAGTTGTTCCTTCAGTGTGAGCCTGTGAGATTTCTTCTGATCCTCCAGAGATTCTTGTATTTTTCAACACGCAGAGTTGAAAAACAGTGAGGCTCATAACCTCACAGTCCCATGCCAGGGAACCTAAGTCCAGCAGTGTGTTTTCTGAAGGTTCTCAAAGCACAGAGTAATTCCCATTTTCCGGGAGAACCCCACATCTCATATGGTTTCAAGCCAGACAATGGGGATCCGCGCAGAGAGAACATGCACGCACACAAACAGGAAGGACGCAGACGGGCTTTGGGGGTGATGAGGGACAGCTTCCCCCTGAGGTCTCAGGCGAGGGGTGAGGAAGGAGACTCATGTGAACTCCTCTGTCTCTGCTCTCAGGCTTGTTCACAAAACCCTCCATCTCAGCGCACCCAAGCTCCCTGGTGCATGCAGGAGCCAGGGTGAGCCTGCGCTGTCACTCAGAACTGGCCTTTGATGAATTTATCTTATACAAAGAGGGGCACATACAGCATTCCCAGCAGCTTGACCAGGGGATGGAGGCTGGGATCCATTACGTCGAGGCTGTCTTTTCCATGGGTCCTGTAACGCCTGCCCATGCAGGAGCCTACAGAT